>NC_000003.12:60010000-60313030 GCF_000001405.40 Homo sapiens
TCCCCCATGTCACTAGCTATGCCTCTACAGTATCGCTTTCAATGGCTGAAGGAATTCCATCAAATAGATATTGCATAGTGCATCTAACTAATCCGGTATAGTTGGAATTTACATTTGAATACTGAGTTTTAAAAAATCTTGGAACCAAGTTTAAACATTTGTGTTTTGCATTTCAAGAAGTGATTTCAAAAAGAAGCCACAGGTATTAAATCCTTTCTTTGCATCCGTATATTTAGAGCCTCACATGGAGGTGAGACAGTGGGACAGAGGAAAGCTGAAAGCCTCTGTGTCTATCACCATACCCTGTGTGTAGAGCAATTAGGAGGCTAGCCCTTTTTTATGATAAGGAATTTGGTAGCCCATATGGTGGCAGTCCCTACATAAACTTTCACTGCTTAGAAGTATTTCCCAGAGATTGTATTTTAAAAGTCCCAGAATAGCTGTGTTAAAGACAAAAGTAAAGTAAGATCAAAAGGGAACTTACGTTTATTTGGCATTGTTTGTGTGGGCAGCACCTTATCCACTCACAGCTAGTCTTCGAAGCATTAAACTTTATTTCAACAAAGTGTAACATTAACATCCCAGCCTGACTTGCTTCTGACTTCTAGCACCAAAAATAGAGCCTTTTCTATGACTTAGGTGCAGAATCTACCCGTATAGGAATTAGCATTTGTATGAAAAGAGCTGAAACCCAGCTTCTGAATCAGCCAGGATTTTATTATTTTATTTTTACTACAGAAGCAGAGACTATCCTAATAAATCCTCCTTTCTTCTCCTAGCACACTTAAAAACCCATCTTTGAGCTCCACTGACTCCATTAGGTTTGAACTTTGGTATTAAGTACACAGGGAGGAAAAGAGTAGGTGTGGGGGTGACGAGAAGGAGAACAGAGAGAAGCACAGGAGAACAGAAAGGAAGGGAGGCAGCTTGATGCTACTGCTGCGGTTATTGCTTCACTCAAAAACAATGAAGCAAAAGCAGACTATGTCAAGAAGCAAAGGTGTGTCAAAGACACCCCAGGCTTAACATGGGGCTGCACAAACCCACAGGAAGCTCACATGCTATTTCCTAGACACTCTCTCACATGAACCACTTTGACTTATGTTTCCGGACTCCTTGATTTAGTTTCTGTTTTAGCGTTTGCACAATAATAATTTTACTACTAAAAGTAAATGTCTTGTAAACCAATGGGAAACATATTGTTTGGCAGAGTTTATAATGTCAGGATTTACGGCTCTAACACTGAGGGTCTCTCTGACCTCGAAGATAACATAATGAAACAGCAATGTGCTGCATATGACTCGTTGTGATTTTTTATTAGTTCTCATAATCGCCTCTTATTAATTTGTATGCACATAATAAGCACTCACCTTCACAGTCTGTCCGGCTTCGGGGCCATCCTAGAAGTAGGAAAAAACCAACAGAGGTGAGAATAGATAGATGGTATCTCCTGCTTATTCAGAAATATCACCCATTAATAATTTAGATGCAATTTCATTGTGTGTTAATTTATAGTATTCTCATGGGGACCATTGGCTTCAAATGTGCGGGATTAGACAGTTCTCCATTTCCGCCTGAGAGTAAGTGCGAAGTTATGTATAAAAATGATATAAATTATCCAGCAAGCCAACTCCTTGCTACTTTTCATGCTCTTTGCTCTAGGCTATGGTTTTAATTGCATTAAAGGAAGGCTGAAAATGTTTGGGGAGGTGAAGTATCACACCTTCTGGTTATGTTTAGAGGTGGTTTAATTAATGTCTGATTACTTTAAGCTTCTACTCAGGAAATCTGCTATAAACATAAGCCATTAAGGAAGAATATGGGGTATTTCATATGGGAAGAGTCCTCTGGCTATTCTGACCTTGTGGGAGACAAATGGTAGTGTTCATTGTAGCTGGACCCTTTTCCCAAACTGGTTCCCTTTCTCTGTTTCTGAAGCTTAGTTGGAAATGGGCAAACTCACCAAGTCACCAGCCATAATATAAAGCAAAAGCAGATACTCAGCTGGTTGAGATGGCCAAACAAAGCAATGGCTCCACAATCAGAAATTCCAAAATAGAATTTCACCTCTGCAACTTTAGCCAGGTTTGTCTACCTCTATGAGCCTGACTAACGGGGTGAGAACTCCCGCCGTAAGGATTAAGCATAACTGTGTATATCAGGGATTTTCAAACTTAGAGTCACAATCCATTAGTGGGTCATGAAGTCAACTTAATGGGTTGCAATCAGCATTACAAACAATGTAAATCAGGTGTTTTTTTTGTTGTTTTTTTTTTTTTTTTTTTTGAGAAAGGGTCTTACTCAGTTGTCCAGGCCAGAGTATGGTGGCATGATGGCGGCTCACTGCACCCTTGACCTCCTGGACTCAAGTGATTCTCCTGCCTCAGCCTCCTGAGTAACTGGGACTACAGGCATGCACCATCATGCCTGGCTAATTTTTGTATTTTTCTTAGGGACAGGGTTTTGCCATGTTGCCCAAGCTGATCTCAAACTCCTGAGCTCAAGAGAGCTGCCGGTCTTAGCCTCCCAAAGTGCTGGGATTACAGGTGTGAGCCACCACACCCAGCCAGAAATCAGATCTTAATAGAATAAAAACTATTAGACTGCACAGAATGAGTAAACATTGTTTTGTGAAACTCTGGTTTCCTTTATCAATATAGGCATATGCATATATTTCATATATGTGTGTCAGGGGAGACAGGCATGATTTTGAAATAAATATGTATCTTACTGTAGGTTACAGTAAAAAATAGTTTGACCACATTGCATATACGAAAGTACTCTAGGTGCTAACACAAGTCAGCTCTTACATTTATGGAATTAACTTTCTAGTGAAAAATGTTCCATAACCAGCAATGGCCATTTCCTATAAATGTGATTTTTATTCTTGTATCTCACTAAACATTAACAGAGGTTTTCATTCACTGCCTTCATTTAGTCTCTCCAGAAACACGGTTTGCAACATAAGCTTGATAAACCCACTCTGAACTGAACTACCTGCCTGAAGGGGACTCAAATGGTTTGACATACAACACATACACACAAAGCATTTGGGGGAAGTTTAGCTACTCTTAACACAGACATGGCAGCAAAAAAAGAAAGAAAAAAATCTGTTTGAGAAGAAGATGAGCACTTTTAGTCAGAGCCTTCATAACCTGAAAACACTGGCTTTCTTTATCTGGTCTCTTTGAAGCTCTATGGTAAAGAGCTAAGGAGGGGAGGAAGAATGGCAAACATTCAGTTTAACTAACAGGCTGAGTACAGAGTCCTCACATTTTGAAAGTGTGTCCTTCTAAAGGGCAATTACAGAGTCATCCAATTTCAGAGCCATGAAGGACTTTATACATTGATACCCCAGCCCTTTCCATAGAGGGCCTGAAGGAGCTCATGGTATGTTACTACGGATTTACTCAATTCCCTACTGATGACTCACCATGGACATCCTTCTCCCAACCTGACAACTGTTGGCTCAACCTCTGCCTAAAAATCTTCAGTGACTGGGGATCTGATTTCTTCACTGGTCAGTGGGCCACACCCAACCAGTGAATCTAGCTTCTAACTAATCTGTGATCAATCTCTGCATCTTGAATTAAAGACAGACAAAAGGTAAGGCCCAACCTAAGCTGCATATCACTGCCACCCTGGAATTAGAGCAGGGCTTAGTCTATGCAGTGCTCAAAAATTAGTTACCATGGAATGAAAATGATTTTTCCAGTCCCAGTTCCAGTAAGCAATTTGGAATGTCTGAATGTCCATTAAATCACTTATCCATTACTCCCACCTGCTTGGTAAACAAGCCTCAGACATCACCTTAGACACTATCCCACGGTCCATCTTGGGGCCAATGGACAGTAGGGTTGCCCTGCATTAGAAATCTCTTTTTTTGGCTGCTACCTAAAATACAAACAATCACATCTGCCCTCCTGGTAAGATATCAGGAGGAGCAAGCCCAATGCCGGGATATGAAAGGGAAGAAAAATCATTTCTGAGAAATCTGTACACTCACCTGCATGGAAAAGGTGAGAGAGGTCCCATGGAAATGTTTTTCCACCACTGTCCCGACTCTCTGGGTCGTCTGAAACAAATCGGCCACTTCATCAGGACGCAGGTCATGGAAGCGCTCCACTGGCCGCAGCGGGCACACAAGGACATCTGTAGCAAGGTCTGTTAAGGCCCATGCTGCTGGCTTTGGGTAGTGTTCTTACCAAGCAGTTCATACCCACAGGATTGAATCCTCTCGGACCAGGGCCTGAACTCTCAAAGACTAAGGAATGAAGAAACAGATATTTACCATCCACTGAACTCCAGAGAGTTGAAAGAGAGCTCCCATACATGGATAATTACACTTTGAAGGAGAAGCTGTGGTATGCAGAAGAATTTCTTGCAAAAGAAAGGGACATTCGTGTACAGACAGACTCAAGTGTATGGTGAGATAATTATGCGAGGAGGCAAGATCTATTCTAGATCATTCTCTCTTGACCCCTATTCTAAAGCTGTGTCCGCTTCAGCAGCCAAAGGCACTAGGTTGAAAAAGCAACTGGAATATCTACTTGGTTTCTCTAGGTAGAACATGGGGATAAATTTTTAATTTAAATTATCTCTTTAGAGAAATAAGAAAATTATGCAATGAACATACAAAAGTAGATGTTTATTTTATTTTTAAAAGAGTATAGACATTCTGAAAATGTACAGTGAACTTTATCCATAACTAAGAGAGGTGCCATGTGGTTAAGCAATTTATGACAAGAGTTCCTCAGACTAATTTTTTTTTTAGAATCCAAAAGAAGACATTTGAAGGTAAATCATGAACGAAAGGTTGTCTGTTTATTCAAATAAAGCATTCTTAATGCATTCTACAAGTTAGACAAGGCAACGTATTTACACTATTGGTCTCAGCAACATATAAGATCTGAGAAAAAAGGATAGAAATTTGATTACTTCTTGATAGGAAATTAATATTCACTGTTACACCATCAATAACATTTCAGTCACTATACACACATGTATGCACACATGTGTATATACACACACTATATATATAAATATTTGTTTAGTTTTTAGATACTAACAAGAGAAACAAACTCTTGTACGTTTTTCTGTTTCTTTTTTCTTGTTGTTTTAAGACAGCATGCTCCTGCCTGGAGCTAAGCAGCTGAGGGGCATAATAAAACCATAATTCTGCAATTGCTAGTCTCACTAGAATATCAACCCCATTCCGCTATTGGTAGAACTCAGAGCCCAAGGGGAAACACAACTGAGCTCAGCTGGTCAGGCCTGATTTCCATAAGAGAGAGGGGAAGAGAAAGAAGAAACTGATTAATTTTGCTCATAATCAGGAAATTCATGTCAATGGTAAACTAGGAAAAGAAGCATTTTTAAAATCAGAGTTCATTTTTCAAGAGAGGAGAAGGGAGGCGTTCACCCACAGGGCATCTGATACTTAAAAAGATAATTATCCATCTTTGGCAGGCCCGCTTTATTATCATGGGTCAATGAACCATTTAGAAATGAAGAATTTCCTTTCATTTCCTTTGAGCAGATTGCCAGCCTCCACTCCCACGAAGCTGCTTTTTCTGTGTTAAAAGGGACCCTTCCCCATATTCCTCCTCCCTGATTTGAATTACACCCTCACTTAGGCCTGACTTCACCAAACCACAGCAAGGGTGACAACCATGCAAGCTTCCAACGAAGTCCATAAGTGCTATGTTAGGCTATGTTCACACACAGCAACTCGGTGGGGGAGGAAGACATTTCACTTCAACAATGGCTTACTGTGAAAACTGGTGGAATAAATCAGACAACCTATGTATCTAATGTAAATTTAGTAATATCAATGACATCCAAAAATGTTTTTTTTCAACACCATAAAAAAACTTATTGTTTGTCAATTTTGCTTGTTTGCATGTTGCTCCTAGAAAAACAACTCAGGGAAAGCAAATTAATTAGAAGAACAGCAGATAGCTTTTGTAATTCTAATGCCACTTTTTATATGCCAATTGTTTTAAAATAATATCACAGATGCAATATAATTTAATTTGGAGCCTCTTAGGCCTTGTTAATGGGTAAATTCCATATTATACATAGGCTATGAAGACACATTTACTTCTGGATCCTGTTTGCTTGGGATTATCTCCTCTGTCAAGATTTCTTAGCCAACATGTAGGATAACCTTTAAAGAATTAAAGTTACTATATTGAATTGAATAAATGTTTTATCCAGTACATATCATGTGTGAAAACTTGTGGAACTGGTTACCACTTCTCCCTATAATCTAGAGTATAGAGTTTTTTTAGCAATAATATTTTTTAAAGGAAGCGAAGGTCAATAGTTATAATTTAGGTTGTATAGCTGACAAGGAGATTTCTCACAGTAGATGAAAACCAAAGGCGACTTCTTAGAGCAGATGAGATTTAAACTGGACTTTAAAAATTGGGGAGTGATTTAACCAGTGGATTGGGCTGGCAACCTACTCACTCATCCATCCCAACACTGCAGTCTCCTCTCAGTCCAGGGTCTATGCTGGAACTTAGGATGCTAAGATGACCAGGACAGAGTAGCTGACCTTGAAGAGTTCACATTCTAATGTCCGCAACTGTCATGCAGTGTAAACAGATCATTACAACACAGAGAGATGAATGCTATTGGTAGAAATCAGTATAGAAAGCTGTGGGAGCACAGGGGAGGTCAGATCTAATTCTGCCTCAGGGTGTTAGATAAACTTTTCCATCTCATTTTACATTTCACCTTTTAAAGTAGAACAATTTCTCCACACCTAGACCAAAATCTGTCCTTAAAAATGGTCCAGAAACTTAAGGTTAGCTTCAAAGAAAGTTGTTAAGCGTTCCTCCTTTGGCCCAAATCACCATTTCACTTTTGTACGTACTCTTACTTACTCAATCTTTCCAACAAACCCATAAACTATTAATACTATTATAATTCCCATGTTGAAGATGAATTATAAGCAATAATTTCTTATAGAAAATTAGAAACTTGCCACACCAGCACACTCAAAATGAGATTAAAACTAGAATTCAACCCGTCTGTCCGATTCTAAAGTTCATGTTATTAATGACAGTGCTGTGATGTCATGCTTGTTAGAGCTTTCATGACTCCATTTTTGCCTAGCCTCTTATTAAAACTGTGCCCTGCATTCCCTAGTCACTCTGTTCATAGAAGGGAACCACTGTTTTCATTAAATAGAAGGCTATGATGCAAACATGCTGAACGCTTAAGAAACACCTAACCTTGGAAAAAGAAAGCAGACGAGACCTACAATCCCACAATGAAAGGAGGCCTCAGCACTGGGCAGTGAGTATGCCTTCATCCTAACAGAGAATCGTAAGATCAAAAAGGGGGGAGAGTACCAGCTTGCCTGAACTGGAGGAAGTAAAGAGGGATACAAAGCTGGCATTTTGCCCCTTCTCATCCTGACTTTGGGTTGCTTCAAGGTGACTTGGGCTCCATCATGGGCCAGACTCCTGAGAAAGTTTAGATACTGCAGCCTCTATCACTGGGTCAGGTTGTCAGACACACTGAATCCATTGCTTGTTGGACAGTCTAATTACTGAGAATTATGGACCTTCTCACAACACATGATTCATATCACAAGAGACTACCAGAAACTTGGCAATCCTTTCTTTTTGTTTTCCCTTTTCGTCTCCTCCTCTTCATGCTCACCACCAGCCCAGAACTGACTATCTCTCTTTTTGAACATGAACACTTTAGGTGTTTTTGCTGCATTAAAGTGGTGTGACCACATGCCAAGCCCTATGCTGAACTCTTGCTGACACACTGCCAACTCAGAATACACACAATGAAAGAAAGACATATTCGCATTAGTCAGGTGCCTAGAGCTGGTGTGGTTTGCTATTTGCAAATGTGACCACAAGAATCCCTCCCATCCTACACATGCTGTTTTGCTCTCTGGCTTTCCCCCACTTTCCATCAAGAGTTGCAGTCTATTTCCCCTCCCCTTGAGTGTCTATCTTACTTTGTGTTTGTGTTGTTATAAAAGAACACCTGAAGCTGGGTCGTTTACAAAGAAAAGAGGTTTATCTGGCTCACAGTTCTGAAGGCTGTCCAAGAAGCACGATGCTGGCTTCTGAATTTGGTGGAGGCCTCAAGATGCTTCCATTCATGGCAGAAGTGGAAGGGAAAACAGTTTGCAGAGATCATATGGTGAGAAAGGAGGCAAGAGAGACAGGAGGGAGGTGCCAGACCCTTTTCAACAACCAGCTCTTCTGGGAACTAATAGAGCAGTAGAGAGCTCACTGGTTACCACAAAGATGACATCAAGTGATTCATGAAGGATCTGCCCCCAAACACTTCCCATTAGACCCTACCGCCAACATCAGGGATCAAATTTCAACATGAGGTTTGGAGGGTCAAATATCCAATCTATAGCAGTGTTGCTGTGTGACTTTCCAAGGTTAGGCCTTAAGTGACCTTGAAACCTCTGATTATTGCTCTCTTGGAAGCCTGAGACCAACATGCTATAAAAAATCCCAGCTAGCCTGTTAAGTGGCAACATGAAGAAAGAACTAAGGCACCTCAGCTGATAGTCAGCAATAACTGTCAGAGATCATCTCAGACCTTCTAGAGTCAGGAGAGCCACTGACTTCCAGTTTCTATATCACTTATCTACTGCTGCATAATAAACTACCCCAAATCATAGAGCCTTAAAACAACATTGATCGGCCGGGCGCAGTGGCTCACGCCTGTAATCCCAGCACTTTGGGAGGCCAAAGCGCGCGAATCACCTGAGGTCAGCAGTTCAAGACCAGCCTGGCCAACGTGGTGAAACCCCATCTCTACTAAAAATACAAAAAAAACAGCTGGGCATGGTGGCGGGCATCTGTAATCCCAGCTACTCAGGAGGCAGAGACAGAAGAATCCCTTGAATCCGGGAGGTGGAGGTTGCAGTGAGCCAAGGTCACGCCATTGCACTCCAGCCTGGGCTACAAGAGCAAAACTCTGTCTCAAAACAACAACAACAACAACAAACCAACATTGATAGGTTTTACTACCATAAGTCTGTGGATGGTTTTTGCTGAGGGTCTCACCTGGACTCACTCATGCAACTGCTTTCAGATGGAAGGTAGGCTGGAGTCTGGGCTCAGCTGCATCCACTAGGCCCTTCACTCTACATGCTCTTCCATCCCAATAGATGCAGAATCTCTGAATTTGCTTAAGGCTTACATTGTCCCACATTCTATCGGTCAAAGAAAATCACAAGCCAACCCAGATTCAAGGTAGAGATATTCTGTCTTCTAAAAGGAGGAGTGGAAAGATGACAGTCAAAAGGGATATGGACACTAGGAAGTTCCAGGGATGTTTAAAAATTAACAGGGGCCCAAGGTATCTTGGCTGTCCTAGTGAGTAAATACAGGATGGCATTTTAGAGTTGAGATGCTCCTTTTTTTTTTTTTTTTTCCTGAGATGGAGTTTCGCTCTCGTTGCCCAGGCTGGAGAGCAATGGCACAATCTCAGCTCAGTGCAACCTCTGCTTCCTGGGTTCAAGTGATTCTCCTGCCTCAGCCTCCCAAGTAGCTGGGAATACAGGCATGCACCACCATGCCCAGCTAATTTTGTATTTTTAGTAGAGATGGGGTTTCTCCACGTTGGTCAGGCTGGTCGTAAACTCCCGACCTTAGGTGATCCACCTGCCTTCACCTCCCAAAGTGCTGGGGTTACAGGCATGAGCCGCCGTGCCCAGCCGAGATGGATCTTAAACATCAACTACTCCAATACCTTCACTGTCAGATTTTAAAAATAGGGAGAGAAAGGTTACTTAACTTGTTCAAAGTCACACAGTTAGGAGCACAGTTGGGATTGGAGCTCAACTGGTGAGCTTCCCCAACCAAAGCTCTTTCTGTTACACTGAGATGGCAAAACATTGCACATCTGCCACTATTTTCCAATGGTAAACTTATGGCAGAATAATCGACCACAGAATTCTCTCCTTTAACCAAAGTGTCCCCAAATACTTGCCAATATAACCTCTGAGCAGTCAACACCAGTGAGAATGGGCACGCGACATGAGATGCATGTGCCATTTCTGTGGCCTCCCACACTGCCTCATGAAACACAGAACCAACTGCAAAGGACTGGTGGAGTCAGAACAAAGGGGGATGCTGCAAAAGGGAGAATCTTCCCAACTACATAAAATTTCCATTATGTTGCCACATTTTTATTCAAAATAAATTTGATAAGTTCAAAATTTGCTCATCAAGGATAATAATTGATTAAAAATATTTTTAGGAGGATTTCCATGACAAATACGAAATATTTAAACATGGAGCACTGACAGATAAATGGAAATGTACTGATTCAGATGATTAATTAAAGATGACAGCAGAATATTATGATCGGAGTTGCTCAGACTCGCCCCCATTTAGTTTTCTATATCTGATCTATTCTAGGGATTCAGAATATAGAAGTCACCAAAATAAAGCAAATCATCAAAATATCACTGATTTTGATTAGGCTGATTAGCCTGTGTATATATTAATATGAAGTAAGGCAGTATCAGATAATACAACACAGAATTAATCATTCTTCTGAACTAATAAAAAAGAGTCTGTATTCATCTCGACTGCAGATCTGTGTGTAGTTTAGTGATAAGCAAGGAACATTCCAGCTTGCAATGCAGACCTCAGCAGACCCTGTATAATTCATTATTTGCTCTAACAAACACTCCTAGGCCTTGTAAATGTTTAAAATAATTCTTAATGTCACTTCACAAAACAATAGCAGGATGGACTGTCAGCTACTTTTCAAGAAAATATTCAATTTATTTGATTTAAATAGCACAATTACAGAGCTTTGAGTCAAAGTAGGCGGCATCTCAAAAAGTAATCTATTCACAACGTAAGCACTTTGATGGATTTTCATATCAGAAAGGCAGAAATATCACCCTTAAATATTAATAAATACAATTCTGAAGAAGCATCTTGCTTTGTTTGGGCCACACCTTTTTTCAGTGGGGATTAACATACTCATTTCAGTAACTCAATAAAGGGTTCATGGGATATTCATCAACCATAACCATAAATGACACAGATGTAATTTTAAGCAAATGTGATTTCCAGAATATGATAAATTCCAGAGCAGTGTGATTAAGATAATGATAACACTCTGCTCAGAGCTGGTTCTCAAGGCAAGCATCTCACAAATATCCACTATCTCATGTTTTGCCCTGGGATATGCTTTGGGTCAGAGATATGATGAGACCTTGTTCATCTGGAGGAAGAGAACCCAGGTATCCTTGTCTAGGCAACATGCCCTGAGCTGCCCTCAAAACTCCGGTACCGATCTGGATGCTCAAAAGTAAGAATCACTTTCATCGAGAGAAGCAAACAGTTGCCTTTCAAAGAAAGTAAATTGACAGGGGAGTCCGCAGCCCGATAGCATTCTGGTACAGATTCTTTGGTTGAATTTCACATATTTTTCTGTGAACTTTTCAATGCAAAGTAATCTTATACTGATTGAGGGAAGAGCATCATATCTGGAAAAAAATATGCTCATATAAACTAAGTATGTGGGAAAGAAGTAAATGATATCATTAAAGGAAAGAAACAATATATAACATTTGTTTGCTGCCTAGTATGGTCTAGTGATAATCAATAACCCTTTGAGTTAGGATAATATCACCTCCCAATGTCCAGATTCAGAAGTTGAGGCCAAAAAAGTTTAACTGCATAACCAAGGTCACGTAGCTATTAAGTGAAAATCCCAGCCAGGGGCATGTGCTACAACACTGTTACAATGTCCATGCTGTTTCAATGCCTCTCAAGGTTATAAAAACCTCCATGTATAATACCTACTGCAGTGTTTACTAGAGTGGGATAGCAGAGCCCTGCTTCCACGGGATGCTGTTATACATTATACAGAAAAAAAACTGTGCGGTCAAAGAAGATTGAGAAACACTGCATGAAATGAAGTAAAATAGCTCTCTTTACCGCAGTATTCATCAGCATATTTACTGTACTACTATGCATTCTGGCTTCTCAAAAATAAGAAATAGTATGCAGCACTGCTCAAATTTGCTTATCTACAAAATAATAATGATTATTAATTATTAGTAATATTGTAGAACACTACACAGGACACATGTTTCAGAGGATGTTCTTTGGAAACCTTGAGCATCATTTCCCAAAACACAGAGAGGCCTGAGTAATTTTTCTGTTTTTTCAAACAAAAAGTTGAGTACATGTCCTATTAATCACATGGGCAAAGAAAGAGAGCATTCTGTGAAATGAAATATGCTGAGAAGTTGAGCATTAAAATACATCAAATGGGATATGGCAGTCATTAGTGCTGTTTGCCAAACAGTTCAGGTTACTGCCATGTCTGGGCATATGGTAGGCCTTCTGGACCCTTGCAGTTGGGTGAAGCTCAAGGAATACAGGTCAAAGAGTTGTGAGCGAAAATGATATACGTCACTTCTGGGCTAAAGCCCTTAACTTCTAGTATGTGACCGACAGCTTTATTTCCTTCACCAAGACAGGCAGCAATGCTTTGCAATGGTAGCTGCTCTGGCAGTGAGACCCCGAATTATAGGTCAGCAGGGGCCTCTGAGCATCGTGGTCACAGTGACTAGGGCAAGTTTGTTCTTAAATAGGTTTTACCTCTTTTGCTAACCCCAACCAACTTGTAGTAGCTATTTACAGCAGCATGTTGAAGAGGATTCTGAAGCTCTGATAAGGAGCAGGAGGAAAGAACTGAGGAATTTATTAGTTTTGGCTGCCACCAGGGAGGAAAAAAATATTAGCGTGTATACCAAGTACCTGCCATTCTTCAATTAGACGGCAATAAAAATGTTTTTTCAAGAATTCTCTCTCCCCCATTCTTAATGATATAGAAGTCATTTCTGGGACTTGCAATGTCTCTCAGTAACCGTTATGAAAATCTATTATTATTGTTATTGTCCTAGAGATATACAGAAGTGTCTAGAATTTAGATAATTCTGGTTAGGAGAGTACTGAAAAGGAAAATTAACTGTCACTCGAAAGAGTCTGTCCACAATGTGTAAACATGAGAATGGGAACACACCAATATGAAAATGAGCATGTTGTAAAAATGCTCTTAGGAGTTAAGACTTGAAGGAGTATGGCAATAGAAGAAATAAATTGCACTCAGCAGCTGAAGAAATATTTAAAGATAACTCCAATGAGAGATTATTTTAAACTTCAGATACACTTTGCTATGAGAATCATTTCAAAAACTCTGTAAAAAGCTTTTTAGTGAAGTAGAGATGAGAAAGTAATACTAAAAATCTGCAATTCATTGCAGATCTAGAAAACCACATGCAACATAAATAATTTAATAGCACCCTCACCATATACACAGTTTCATTTCACCAGTATGTGAATGAGGGGAGTGCCCTGAGCACATACCTCCATAGGGTGGCTAGAGTGAAACCTGGGGCCCAAACTCCCACATAGACAGGATTCTTCCAGTGCAAGCTCTATCAGGTTTTGAAATTATGGATTCCAAATTTAGGTTTGCTTATGTCATTTAAGAGACTAAAAATTCCAGTTTCCCTCAGATCTTCCATATAGCTGGCCAAGCCAATGGAGCAACCAGACAACACAGTTCAGATGCCATCTGAAGGCAAAAAGTAGCCAAACTATAAATATGAAAGGAAAGAAATAGGAAATGAGAGAAAGGGAGAGAGGAGATTAAAGGTAGGGGTGGTATTTAGCAGATGAAGCCTCCTTAGAAGAGAGGAAATACTCCTTTATAGATAGGCTCAACTAGGATTCCTGGTGCTACACACAGAGCTTAACATAGCATTGGCCTTTAATAAATACTTGGTGAAAAAATAAATGTCATGTAGGCTTATTCATTGTTTAATCTGGGAAACAATTCTTTCTAATGAATAATTTCTTCAAAATGCTCCCCAAACTGTGGGTTCTTAAAAGACCAGTGAACCAGTCCAGACTCAACTTACTTAAATGTAAACCATTAAGAAAAATATACTTCATGGTAAAAAAAAAAAGAATTATGAATTCCTAATACAAATGTAACATACCCAGCTAAAGGGATAGAAAAATAAATACAAACTGGTCTTTCCTTCACACATCAAAAGTAGTGCATGTGTTTTAAATGGAAAACTTCAGAACTATTAACTCAGTGAAGCTTGGAAAAGTTCAAAGATAACAGTGTTCTATGCTTTTTAATAACAATGAGGAACCCTCTTCTATGACAGATACTAATGTTAATAGAAACATCCTTTATTTCAAATAAATGAAAGAGAGTCACACTTAACACTAATTTGGCATTCTCACAGAATATGAATCAACGTCTTTCTCTCTTAAAATCAGTCCTCCATGAGCTAGCAACCTAAAATAAATGTGAAGATTTCGTAGTGAGAGGTATTCATCATGTGTTCAGTGAATGAACTTCTGAATGAATTAGTGAAAGATCACAAAGTTGAATATTAGAGAAAAGGATAAAGCCAAAAGACTTTCAAGAACTCTGTATTTTTTTGTATATTCATTCAGTAAATATTTGTGAATTAAGAGCCGACTACCTGGCAAGTACTATATAAGACACTGAGGATACAGCACAACCAGGTACAGTCATCCTCTCCCTTCCAAAGATGTGAAATCTAGAGGGTGAGCAGACAAAGGCAACTGACATAGTAACTACTGTGAAAATATAAGGGGTGAGATGAGAAAGAAAAGGTGCAAGAATGCAAGGGCAAGACCGTAACAAGCCAAACCAGCTAAGGTGGCTGTGAACTAGGCCCAGTTCACTTGGTCTAACTGGATCTTCAGGAAAGAGTGCAGGCCCTTGATAGCCTTGGTCAGCAGTCTGTATTTATTCGCCATGCATGGAGAAGCCACTGAAGCATTTCGGAGAGTGGAGATGTATGACAGATTCTGGGTTCTCTTTGCAAAGCTGAAGGCCACTGGGAATATCTTTATTGCAGACTAGGTAAAAGATTCAAAGCAGGCCTGGCCTGTGGTGGTGGCAGTAGAGATGCAGAGAATTTGAGATGTATGTTTGAGGTAGGAGCAACAAGACTTAACTAATGGGGGCAAAAAGGAAGAGAAGGATCAAAGAGGATTCCAAGGTTCTGGCTTGGGTAGTAGGTGAAGAGTGATGTAATTTTGAGATACGGTGGGTGGGACAGTGTCATGTAGCTCACCATTTGGAGACTTTTCTTTCTTGAATTTATAGAATTCTCCAGAAATAACTAGAGCAGAGTTTCCTAACCTGGGTCTACAGATAGGCTCCAGGGCTTCTATGAATCTCCTGAAATTGTTTGCAAAATGGTGCATATGTGCACGCACACACATTGTTTTCCTCTGGTATAAAATTCTTAAATAGTCTCCTGACCCCAACTAAGATAAGAAATCTAGATTTAAATCAGAAGAATTCTTTGAAGATTAGTCCCCAAGAGAATGATTAGAAACAGGCTCAGACTTTTGCTCACTTTGGCTTAGAATCTAATATACCCAGTACTAAAGAGTAAGAAAAGAAGTTCACTCTGTCTGAGCAATGTGCCATAATTCACAAGCATGAAGCCTCCATAAAAGACAAACAAAAGATTTTTTAATGCCATAACACCGAAGTCATTTTAATCTGATTCAGCAGTGAACAATTTAAGACATGTCTCCTCCAACAAAGGCAGCTGGACACATAAAGATGATTGTGTGATCCATTCAAAATTAAAGAATAAGCTAAATCATTTACAACAATAAAAATGCAGAAAATTCTACCAGAAAAAAAAAAAAAAAGAGAGAGTGAAAACTTTCAGCAGCAAGTGATTTCCAAATGTTTCCAAAACAGGAAGCAAAAGACATTTTAATGTCACTGTGGCAGCTTCCAGAATAGAGTAAGTTAATCAGGCAGCCTCTAAAAACAAAGCAGCAATTCATTAAAAACAACAACTGCTACTCAGCAATGAACTGTACTGCCAGAGTGTCAAGAAAGCAAACTTTTTCAAGATAGTGATTTGTATGCAAATATAGCTCAGCATTTATCACTAAACCTCCAAGGCCTGTAAAGGGGGGGAAAGAAAAGTTCTTTCCATCTGCTTACACCTGTCTCCTAATAAAATCAACTGCCAATCACAGGGGAGGCTGGGGCATTTTAAAAACAGTCAAAGAAATACATTCACAAATCCAGGGTTTCAAACAAAAAACTCCTGTCTACTCTTTCTTCTTCAAATCTCCTAGCCTACTGTCCTCTTCCTAAATTGGAGTTAATATCTGTACCTACTTCATTGGGATGTTAAAAGTGTTTTTTCAAAATAATAGCATATTTCACACCAACAAATAAAAGCTGAACGAATGGTTGGTTTAGAAAAAAAAAAAATAGTCAATGGAAATGAAATCCTTCAAAGCTTCCCTCAATCCAGCAATGGTAATGCGGTTATGTGATTGAAACAGTGTCTCACTAGCACCAGTGTTATCGTTTGGAACCCAGATCTTCATTCATCTCATGTTTAAAATGTCTGTACTTTTCTACATTCCACTCACCCACCCATCTCCATTTTCTCATTTGATCTCTGTTTTTTATTTCCCCCTCATAATGTAAGCATCACTGGTAGCAGAGTCTAGGAATTAATCATCTTATAATCATTTAGTCTTCCTCTCCAGTTCTAACTTACGACTTTTTCAAAATATGGTTGCTAACAATAAAAAAAATCTCAAAATGTGAAAACAAACAATGGAAAAATATTGTAAATATTTAAACGCATTTAGAATTTGCAAGTTTTTTTCACTCTAATGTCATTTTTCAAGCTATGTTTAGACAGCACAGAACACTATATGGTTTACCTAATGTTTAAATTAGTAGATCTGGCCAGGTGTGGTGGCTCACGCCTGTAATCCCAGCACTTTGGGAGGCCAAGGTGGGTGGGTCACTTGAGATCAGGAGTTTGAGAGCAGTCTAGCCAACATGGTGCAATCCTGTCTCTACTAAAAATACAAAAATCAGCTAGGCATGGTGGCACACACCTGTAATCCCAGCTACTCGGAAAGCTGAGGCAGGAGAATTTCTTGAACCCAGGAAGCAGAGCTTGCAGTGAGCCAAGATAACGCCACTGCACTCTAGCCTGGGTGACAGAGTGAGTAAGACTGTTTCACACACAGACACACACACACACACACACACACACACACACACACACACAAAATTAGTAAACCCAATAATCCACAAAGATCTATAAAAATATGAACTTACAAGATTTCTATATATTTGAATTTCATTTTGTATATAACTGAAAAAAAATATTTAAGCATGCCTAAGGAAAAAGAAAACTGTGGAAACAAAACAAATGTTCTGGCAATTCTGCAACAGTTTCACATTTGTATATTGTTATTCCTCCTGAAGAATCCTAAAATTCACTCTCATTTTCTTTATATGCTTAGATATTAAAAACATGTCTTTGACAACCAACAGTCTTCTGTCATGGGGAATCAGACATCGGCCCCATAATCTCTCATTACCAACATCACCATTGTCACTGTCTTTACCATCATCACTTAAAAGAAAATAGAAACTGCTTAAATAACCACAGCTAAAATAAGTGTCACAAGTTTCTTACTGATTAAATGCTCCTCCGCGAGACTGCAACCTCGAATACTACGCCATAGAGTTCAGATTCCAACACCTTTAATGTTTCTATAAGGAAAAAAAACCACAAGCGTTCTCCCTGAAAACGTACTCTTAACTCAGAATCTCTTCTGGTTCCATTTAGTTTATAAAAAAAAAAAAAAGAATAATTCAGATTGAAGGATAGTATTTTGGATTTTCAGTGTTATTGATATTCCTCGATCCATCATAATTTAGCTAACATAGATCACTGCCTATAGAGCAGTGCTGTCTAGTGGAACTTTCTATATCCTATACTGTTCAATATAGTAGCCACTAGCCATATGTGGCTACTGAGCACTTGAAATATGGCTGATGTAATCAACCATATTTAATTGCATTTTGTTTTAATTTTAATTTTACATTTAAAAATTAAATTTAAACTTTACATTTTAAATACCACCCTGTAGCTAGTAATCACTTGTAGCTAGTAGCTATTACATTGTACAGTTCATCAGGAGAGGCCACAAATTTATGGTAACAAGGAGTGGTGGAACTGGCACAACTGGAAAACACATGCCCCAAGGTGGGTGGCCACCACCTAGAGATTTTTTTGTTCCTGAAGAAACTAGAAATTTGAATTGCTATGTGTAATTCTCTTCTATTTAACTTTTGGCAACTATAGGCAGTCCTTCTCATGGTTCCAATATGCACATATTTCAGTTACTCCAGTTTAAACAACACCAATTCCCCAACAACACGGTTTAAATTTCAGTTACCATGTCACATTAACTCTGGGTCATTGGGTAAAGTACAAGCTCCACTACTAGCTCTTCAATTCACAAATTACCATGTAGATCATAGATGTGCATGATGATCAGAGACCAGTCACATCACTTCTTCCAAAGTCTGTCAGTGACTGATCACTGCACATCTGGTATTCAGTCAGAGGCAGCCAGCAAAGTATGTAGTTTTGTATCCCACTGATCTTCCAGTGATGAACCCACATATTTCACCAAAATGGATAATCGAAAGAGGGAACTGGCCAAGAAATATGAAACACAAGTGACCAAAAACAAAAACAAAAAACCAAATGTGACAACCCCAGAAGTGCACTTTGAATCAAATGTAAATAAAATTATAGAACAAATAACTGACTTTGGGAATGCCAATTGCGCTGATGTTCAGGAGATTCTAGATATGTAACCCAAGGAATTTAGTAAAGACAAACTTATTAACATAAATTACCAAAGAATTTATGATGCAGAAGAAAAAGATGTACCAGAGGAAGTGACATCAAAAAAGTCACATTTTAAAAAACGTCCTATTTCATGACATTGAAAACACAAAGGATGAAATATTGGAAGGAGATCCACACTTTAGGAGGGATTATGACAATCAGCCAAAGCACAGAAAAGATGCCCCATCTGTACTGTTAGTTGCAGGATAAGAAAAACAAGGCAAGAATTGTTCAAGAGACTCTCAATAAGTGATTTTCAAAGAAATAAAGCACTTCAATTCTTAGTGTTTCTAATGTTTTAAATTACAGTGTACTAAATTAGTATTAGTTCGTTTTTTACTTCTTTCATTATATTTTTCTATTTCTTTATACTCTGATAACTTATAGAGGGTTTTTAATGATTAGAGAAAAACGTTAAAGGTCATAGAACAGTCATACGTTTTCCCATTGATTACTAAGTGGACATTGCATGGTTTCCGCTTGCGTGGTCATTTTTATAGTCCCACACTGCTGTATAAGATGAGGGGTACTTGTACTTCCAATGTGTTAAAAAATATTGGGTGGGGCAAATAAAACATATAGGTAACAGGCCACAAATTTAAAACCTGTGCCAAGAACTAGTGTCATATGTGATGTGCATCTTAATATTAGGAGAGAGCAGATGAAGGAAAATCAAGGACTGTGACTTTAAAAAGACATATATATGCAGTCTCTCTCCAGAAAGAGCAGACCCGTCGTCATATGCTCCTGAATTCTCCCACCACACTGCCTGGCAAAATTAAAGTCAAAGTTCTCTTTTGTTTCCCAAGTAGCCTGAGAACTGCATGTTACTGTCTACCTAAATAACAGAGGCTCTCTAAAAGAAAATGATATTTATTGAGAAATGGGCCTTGTCTTGGGAATACATGTGCCACAGTAAATTATGAGTATTCAGCCAGGTGAAGGAAGACAAAGGTTTTTAAAGGGCAAGTGAGGAGAATTACCTAATTGTTTTGAGGTAATTATCCTTGGTTACTAGGATCAATAACATTGTAGCACCAGAAAGAGGTTGGACAGGCAGTTGTTGGGCAGATGTCCTCATAGAAGCATTGTGTGTGTGTGTGTGTCTGTGTGTGTGTGTGTGTGTGTGTGTGTGTGTACAAATGTGATGGCCTTGGTGCAGCGTGGCTTTTTGCAGAGTCTTTTATGATAGTTTTTGTTATCAGGCATTTGTACATGAGAACGCTCCCGTCATGGCCTTTCCTAGCTCTATTTGTCAGGGTTTTGTTTGTGACTCCATTTGATTCTGACAACTTTTATATTATCAAACCTCCTGAACTCTGAATGCATCATTAAACCTGGCTGTTAGCATTAAGGTTTCCCCACCAAATGTTCTCTTGTACATCACAATATGACTGAAGGGAGATTACATAATGAGTAACATCAATACCATGCATGTTCTATATTCCATATGGATAATGCGCAACAAGCAAAATTCCTGCCAAAATCCTTATTTTGACACAAAAAACAGAATGCAGCTATAGCTGTATGTTTTCCTTCACAATGTTCCACTATAGGCCCTTTCTGTAGTGCATTATCTGCCGCTGGTCCAGAAGCTCTTTAAAAACAGAGGCCACTTATTTTTCATCCTTGGATCCAAAGACCAGCATATGGAGCCCAGGTTAGGACAGATGTCACCTCTTAGTAGACTTATCAATCCCATCCCATGAAGGTATCCCTCCTTCCTTTTCTTCCCATTTGTTTGTATCCCTCATAGCTTATATCAATCTTGAAATTTTAGTACTCATTTATGATTACTTGTTTTCTATTGAGAATGCAAACTGAAATGAGGGCAGAAATCAGGAATGTCTGCTTCTCAGCTGTATTCTACCTGGATACAGTATACTGCCCATAGAGCACTTGCTAAACACTGAATTGGTGGGTCAATGGATGGATGGATGGCTGGGATGCATGGACGGATGGTAGATGACTGGGTGGGTGGTTTGAAAAAATGTCTAAGGGAATGACTATTAGAACGAATGACTGTTGAATGAATTACTGTTTCATTAATAAATAAAAATAAATAAATAAAAGCTAAAACTATTATTTTAGTAAGTAGAGAGTAGAAAAAATAACTGTTATTTTCTTAATGTTTTATAACCATAAACATAACATTCTCTGGGTTGTCTTCCTTTTCCCAAGTTATGTCCTCAGATAAATCTAAAAATGAGAATTCTTCCAATGGGTGATCTCCCCTGGTCCAGTCCACTATTTGCTGAACTACAAGATGGAGAAGTTTCACTTTGCAGCAGCATGTGTGAAAACAGCTTGGAAATTTTTGTAGAGAATAAGCTCAAGAAGAGTCAACAGAGAAATGTTGTTTCTACAAAACACGTTTTATCTCAGATTGTGAATGCAAGTCTGGTGTTGAGTTGAGGGAGGTGATTTCTCACTCTGATCTTATTGACAGGGATAGTCATGGAGTTTTCTGTCAACCTGGGAGCCACCAGGAACAGCCTATAGCACATTCACAAAAGAGATCAGTATGGCTGAAGAAAATCAAAGAAAAGAGAAATGAGGAAACAAGGGTCAACCTTTGACTATAGCATTGCAAAGGCAGTCATTCTAGGAAGGAGGAAAGATGCAGGTGAACCAACTAGTAAATGGTAGAACAGAATCTGAATCCAGCATATGACCTGTGGAGTGACTCAGATCTGGATTCCAATTCCATTTTTGCCACTTTTTAGCCATTTGACTCTGGGCAAATAAACTCTTATCAGTAACCTCACCTGCAAAATGGGGCTTATTTATTCTCATGGAACTGCATTTCAGAGTAACCAAACAGCACCAATGATGGACAATTCTTCAAAGAATTCTAGCATTAAAAGCAAAAGGACCCCCACCATTTTAAATCCCTAAAAATATAACTGACTCATGCAAAATTATCAACAGGTAATTTGGGGCTTAGGTCAGGAGTTCTTAACCTGGGGGTCCCACAGAGGCTTAGCAGAGGGTGCATGGATAAAAGGAAGGAAACACATGAACATGAATGAAAAAAATGACACACAGTTATTTTTACTAATTTTTAACTAAAATTTTGTATCTTATTAAATCACAGATGTAGGCAATGAACCACTGTAGTAACAGCAGTACCTATGAGTTGTGTCACAGTATAAATCACAGGTATTTAAAAAATATGTAAAGTAATAACTTGATAGTTATTGCAGTTACCTTGAAATATCATTTATTCTAGAAGTACTTATCATTACAATTACTATCACACAATTATGATGGTCATTATAGCTGCTACCACTTCTCATTATTTAATATGTAATAAAGAAATGCATAATTCACTGTATCACAAATTTGCTGTTAATACTGTGTTAACTGGTATTAAATAACATGAATTTCCTTGGTACTTCTCTATACTTAACTGTCCTTAATTAAAATCATTATTGGGTGGGAGGGTTGCTCGAGGCTAGGAGTTTCAATCCAGCCTGGGCAAAGTAGTGAGACCCCATATCTAAAAAAAATTAGCTGGGCATAGTGGCGTGCACGTGTGGTCTCAGCTACTCAGGAGACTGAGATGGGAGGACTGCTTGAGCCTAGGAGTTCAAAGTTGCAGTAAGCTATGATCATACTACTGCACTCCAGCCTAGGTGAAGGAGCAAGACCGTACCTTGAAAAAAATAATAAAAATAAAAAATAAAAACATTATTGGGGGAAAAGGTATACAAGCGTCACCAACAGCCAAAAAGGTGACTGAACCAAAAAGGTTAAGAACTCCTGCTTTGGATGAAAGTGTGACGGGAAACTTTATAATGGAGAACCAGGCTGTCACTACCTAAATCTGCTGATCAATTTCAGGATTCTAAGAGCAGGACATCCAGACATTATGCCTCCCTATACACTGTGATTTGAAGCACATAATACTACTACTACAAATGCTTATATCTGAAAATAATCCATAGACCCGCAGCTGTCTAATAGAACTTTTTGCGATTGTTTACACTATGCAACACAGCAGACACTAGCTGCATTTGAAATGTGGCTAGAGCAAAGAAGCAACCTGAATTTCTAATTTTACTTAAGTGTATAATCAGCCACCTATAGCTAGCATCTACCCTGGAGCCCACCTTAGAGCTAACTTACTTTACACCAAACACAAGATAGAGAAACAAGTTAAGTAACACTAAAGGGAAGCAAACAGACAAATCCGTACTATAGAACAGTCTACAGGACAACTGACTCAGTTAAAAAAAAATTCAATGGCATAACAATATTGGATTAAAACAGCACTAAAACAAATAATAACCTAATATAAGGTGTGGATCTTTTTTGGATCCTGATCCAACCAAGCAATGATAAAAAGACATTTTAAAACAGTCAAAGAACTTGACTACTGCATTAAGAAATTCCTATTAATTTTGTGAAATATGATAATGGGGCCAGGTGCAGTGGCTCATGCCTGTAATGAGCACTTTGAGAGGCTGAGGCGGGGGGATCACCTGAGGCCAGGAGTTCAAGACAAGCCTGACCAACATGGAGAAACCCCGTCTCTACTAAAAATACAAATCAGCCGGGCGTGGTGGCGCATGCCTGTAATCTCAGCTACTCAGGAGGTTGAGGCAGGAGAATCGCTTGAACCTGGGAGGCAGAGGCTGCGGTGAGCCAAGATCGCGCCATTGCACTCCAGCCTAGGCAACAAGAACGAAACTCCATCCCAAAAAAAAAAGAGAGAAAGAAAGAAAAGAAAGAAAGAAAAAGAAATATGATAATAATATTGCCAATTAGGGAATTTTCGTAGTCTTTAAAGATACATGCTGATGTGTGTAGAGCTAAGAAAATACTTCTAGCAATTGCCTTAAAATATTTCAGCAAAAACTCAAGTGGATAAATGAAGCAAGTGTGGCAAAATCCGAATGACATTTGAATCTGGTTGAAGGTAAACAGGCCATCCTTTGTATTGTTTTTGGTGCTTTTTCTGAGTATGTCTGAAACATTTCAAAATTAATTTTAAATGGGATAATGCATTGGGTACAGTGACCAACACATAGTAAACATTCAGTAAATGTTAATTAGCAAGTATTAGCATCATCAACATTATCATTTATGTTCTCAAAAGTCAAAACTAAGATCAATCAGTAAAAAATACAAAGAGGTAGCTTTCAGCTTCATCTAAGAACAGGCTCTGGGAAGATGAAAATACACCGTCTCGTGAGGGAGTAGCCAACAGCATATTCAAGATAACAATAACAGCAGTGACTTACATGATTGAGTACTTATAATGGGGCAGATGTGGTTCTAAGCACTTTCCATATAACCCCTCACTCAATCTTCACAACAATTTCATAAGGTAGGTACTCTAACTGTCCCTGCTGGAGCAGAGATTGATCACTTGGTGAGGATGCTGCAGAAGAGGGTCAAGGTGAATGGCTTTGCTAGTTGCCCTTTAACATCCCTGATAACCCTGAACTCCTCTGATTCAATGAACATGTCATTCAGATGAATTGTGCAGGTTGGCCAGCTGGCTGGCTCACACACACATACAGGGCAATTCTTGCTTTTACTTACTGAAAGGTCTTTAAACACCACCTTTCCCTTTCAAGTAGGAGACTAAAACGTCACAGGAATTTAATTATCTGTAGGCAAGAAGATGATATGATCAAGAAAATGCTACATTTAAACTACTCCATTTACCCACTTTCAAATTTCCCATCAATTAGAGGGGAACATCTTCCCTAGGCAGCCATTTGACCAAGAAATGTCCGTGGTATATCTTCGTCAACATGTTTCAGAATATAAATCCAGATTACACAAACTAAAGTTGGTATAAAGGCTGTCATCATATATTATATCATTTGGAAAGAAATATTGGTGACCTTATCCAGTATGACTGTTATAATGGTAATAAAATTGAATCTTTGAAGATTACACTTCTGGTCAAAGTAGTAAAATGTGACCTTATTCTATTCAACATTGACATTTATTATATTAATTTACATGTAAAAAACTGCATTAGAATGATATTAAAGCCCTGGTTAGAAATGTTAGAAATGGGAATGTTCAAGAACTTCAGAAATAAGATTTCACTTTACCAGCCATTCACAGCATTGAGTTTGTTTGATGCAAATTAAACTAAATTTCCTTCACCAATCTCTGATTCGGTTCTAATTTTATTATTATCACTATCTCATTCATACAGGAGATATTTTTCCCAATGCCTCTTTAAACATTTTATAAACCTTAACTCATTTTCATCATGCTCTGGATAAAAAGATAACACAGAGCACTGAATATATAAACCTGAGTCAGAGGATCAAGCCATCTGCTTATGACGGGGAGAGTCTCCTCAGCCCAGTAAAAATGAGCTTAGCGATGAGTATACATCAGATAGTGCACTAGGTCCTAGAAGGATACCAAGGTCCAGAGGTGAGAAAAGAGAGTCAGACCGCCACGTGGGTTTCACAGAATGGCCACCATGCAGCAAAAAGATCGCTCTTGTTGCCCAGGCTGGAGTGCAATGGCACAGTCTCTGCTCACTGCAACCCCTGCCTCCTGGGTTCAAGCAATTTTCCTGCCTCAGCCTCCCGAGTAGCTGGGATTACAGGTGCCTGCCACCATGCCCAGCTAATTTTTTGTATTTTTAGTAGAGAAGAGGTTTCACCTTGTTGGCCAGGCTAGTCTCGAACTCCTTGCCTTGGCCTCCCAAAGTGTTGGGATTACAGGCGTGAGCCACCACACCCAGCCAAAAACATTTTTTTATACTGGTCAAAATTTTATAGGGAGGTCCCTCCCTTAAATATAAGTTTTGCAAACTTTCAGTTTGGGGGTAGAACATGGAATCATGCAATGAATTAAGGACAAGATTCAGCCACACCTCAACAGATTATTCTATTTTCACCATTAGCCCAAAGTCCAGGCTTGCTAGGATGGGTCCCAACTGTCCTTCCAATTTTGTTTCTCACTATTCTCGCCAGCACTTCAAGGTTCCAACCAAAATTAACTTTTTGCTATGTATTTCCTCATATGCCTTAGTTAATATTGTCTTCTACTCTGAATATCTTTTGACTTTCTATCAATAGGTTAAGCTAGGTGTTGCTATGATAACAAGCAGTCCCAGCATTTCAGAAGCTTGTAACAAAAAAGGTTTACTTCTTGCCTGCTATTTGTCCATGGTGGGCCAGCAGATCAGCTCTGCCCATCTCTGGCACTCTGATATCCAGGCTAAGAGAGCAAAAACCAGCTCAAATACTGTTAGGAACCATCCCAAGGGGAAGAGAAAACTGCAGGGTCTTACACCAGAAGTTAGGTGCTTAGTCCAAAGTGACACAATTCACTGCCATAACTAGTCATGTGGTTCCACCAAACCACAAGAAGCATAATGCTACCATACACCTGGAAGAAAGAAGAACTAAAAATATTTGGTCAATACCATCAATGACTCCCTATCTCCATGTGTCCCAAATCTGATAATTTTTCCAGATCTAAGTTAGATTCCACCTCCTCCTAAAAGAAAACCACAGTCCTTCCTGCTAAAAGGAAACCGTTCATATGGTTAATATACAGAGCATGTTATTTTACCTCATAAGACTCTCATGACTCTCTGAGAACCGTGTCTCTATTGGAATTCCGTGTTTCCCATAATGCCTTGCTAGATAAATACTGCTTGAATGATTGAACAAGGCTGTCTGTATAATGAGAGTTTCATCTCCAAAGACTTCGAATACCCTGGAGGCTAGTAATACGTGGTAAGCAATAAAACTTTATTTTTTCTTATTTATATCATAAAGATACTTAAAACAATATTAAAATGATCATAAAGATGAAATAAAAATGAGCCCATAGTCCCGCCACCCTAAACCAACAAATGTTTTCATTTCTTTTCCTCCTGGTCCTATTCAAAGGGCATCCATTTCCTTTACATAGCTGTATTCAGGGTGCATACAAAGAGAGAATTCTAAATAGAACAGAAGTAACTGCCCAGTCAACAGGTTTTGTTTGTTTGTTTGTTTGTTTTTGCTCTTCCCCAAGATAGAGACACATTGGGCCATATCCTAATACTGAGACTTATTTTCTGCAATAAAATTTCCGTTAATTTAAAGCTTCTAAGCTGTTTAATACAGTCACCATCATTAGGAAATATCAGTGTAGTCTTCACCACTACTTCCTCTCCTTGGCTCAACACTGGAAGAAATTGCCTCTAGTGAAAGGAGATTGACTTCCAACATGAGAAGAAGGAAGAAAAGGAGAAGTGTGTGCTAAATCTTGGACAGTTCTGGGGAACATCGTAGACCAACGTCACCTTGTCACGGTCCGACGTTAAGACATCATTAACAAGAGCTAACAACCAACATTGAAGTTTTAACCTCATTCGTGAATTTATCTGATTATTATTTTGCTCCATTTAGCTCATCCAATTCTTTTCATTTTATCATGCACTCTTTTTATTTGTGTAGTCTGAGTTGAACCTTTTCTAAAACAAGGTAGAAAATACATACATAATGCTTCAAAAAAATGTTTTCCATACTGCCAAATAGGCACTAGGAAGTCTCACCAGAGTTGATAAACAATCTAGATGGCCATTTAACCCACTCAGCTTACTTAAAACCAAGTCTTTCTTTTTTTTTTTTTTTTGAGACGGAGTCTTGCTCTGTCGCCCGAGTGCAGTGGCGAAATCTTGGCTCACTGCAACCTCCGCCTCCCAGGTTCAAGCAATTCTCATGCTTCAGCCTCCTGAGTAGCTGGGACTACAGGCACGCACCACCGCACTGGCTAATTTTTGTATTTTTAGTAGAGACAGGGTTTCACCATGATGGCCAGCCTGGTCTCGAACTCCTAACCTCAGGTGATCCGCCCGACTTGGCCTCTCAAAGTGCTGGGATTACAGGCATGAGCCACTGCACCCGGCCTAAAACCAAGTAAGTCTTAAAATTTGTACTCAGAACTACTTTTTTTTTTTGAGATGGAGTCTTGCTCTGTCACCCAGGCTGGAGTGCAGTGACATGATCTCGGCTCACTGCAACCTCTGCCTCCCGGGTTCAAGCAATTCTCCCGCCTCAGCCTCCCAAGTAGCTGGGACTACAGGTGCATACTGCCATGCCCGGCTAATTTTTTGTATTTTAGTAGAGACAGGGTTTCATTGTATTGCCCAGGCTGGTCTTGAACTCCTGAGCTCAGGCAATCTGCCCGCCTCGGCCTCCCAAAGTGTTGGGATTACAGGTGTGAGGCACTGTACCTTGCCTCAGAGCTACTTCTATACTGAGAATAAATAAACACCCAAACACCTTTCAATGTTATTAAATTTCAGAGTAATGACTTTTTGTCTATTTTCTATTTTAATAGCTGATAGATTAGTAGGTTTTCAAGCTATATTTTAAAATTTTATGTTCAGTTTCCTAACCACTGCCACATGTACACATAATTTATACTCTTACATTTTTGAAAGGGTTTATTATTTTATGTGCTATAGTTATTGATCTGAATCAAATCTTTCTTACTTGATTCAACAGACTATAGTGGGAATAAAATGTGACTATTTACGAATGTTAACCACTGCTGTAATTCATATGAAATCTGCCAAGCCTATTATATTAGGAATAATGTTATATATTTTATCTAAGAGTCTGATAACACCTACCTCAAGTCTAAATATTCTCTGAAAAATTTGTCAGAATAAAACAAGTGCCCTTAAATAATATTTTCAGGTATAACTGCAGACAGTTGCTTGTACGTTTGTCTTTAACTTTAATACTGTCTCAATATGCATGAAACGCTTGATAGTTCAATAGTTGTTTTCATGAGTTGTGCCTTCATTAAGGTACAAAACATTAAACACCTGGAATGCTGCTCGAACTATTCCTAAGGGAGAAATTTTGGTGACAAATGAAAGGGATACATTTTTAAGCTGAAAAAGTTGCTCGCTACTGATAAAAGAATTTATATCAGAATATTCCAATAGAGCAGAAGAAAGCAACATGAAAAGAAAATTAACATTCATTAAGAAACAGCTACCATGGTGCGAAACAAAGATCACAAAGCCAAAACTGAACAACAATCAAATTTCTACACAAAAAATAAGACACATACAATGCCTACAGTTCCGATTGTCTAATGCTGTGTAACAAACTACCCTAAAACTAAGTGACTTAAATAACGGTCATTATGTACTGCCTCTTATGGTTTCTGGAGGGGGTGGTCAGGAATTTTGGATCATCTCAGTCAGAAGGTCTGGCTCTGAACTTTCATGACACTCCAGTCATACCGTGGCTGAGACTAGGGCCATCTCAGTGGCTTCTATATGTATGCCTGAAACCTAAGCTAGGATTTGAATAGTTAGGGGCATCCCTCTCTGGCTCCTTAAGGTGTTTCCATGTGCTCTCTCCCATACGGTGGCTTCAAGGTAGCCAGACTTATCATATATTGCCTTGAGGTTCCCAAGACATATATCTCAAGCTAGAAAGAAAACCAAGAAAAGCCAAAGTTCCTTTAAGGACCTAGTCTTAAAACTCATTTGGCCTTACTTCTCCCATCATCTGAGCAGCTCCACTTTTATCTGTTTCATACATGGGGCTTTGGCATAAGAGCATGTTGACCAAAGGCTGTCAAAGTAACCAAACATAAAAAGTTTAAAAGCTAGTGGCTGGGATGAAGTCTAATGCCCCAAACTTCAACAAAGCTAGGTGATGGAAAAATACTGCTGAGGGGAAGGCTGCTTAGGTGATGGGCAAGAGAGTCCTTGGAGAATGCAGATAATCAAAACAGCACCTAATTAAGGTACAGATAATTGAGAGCTGGATTATCACTAAGATTGTATGTATAAAGATGCACTAAATATCTTATTTTCAATTTCTCTTATTTTTCTATACTGTTATAATAGAAATAATGTAATAACAGCAAAAGCAAAAAATAGTCCTATAAAGTGTTCACATGGTGAATTCAATACTTTCACACTGGGAAGATGATGGTGGAAGATAGTATCTCAGGCAGTGCAGTCCAATGGAAGATCTTAGAACCAAATGTATTGAGTTGAAAACATTAATGCTGTCATTTCTGAGCCATCTTAACTTTGGCAAAGTAATTAACCTGTCAGAGTCTAAATGTCCTCATCTGTGAAATGGAAGAAATTATGAGTTCACAAATTTACACTGAAGAGTCACTGATCCACCATTCTTTAATTCAGTCATAAAATATTTATGGAGAGCCAAATATATGCCAGGTATGATATGGTATGGAAATACAATAATGAGCCAAATGCCTACAATAATCAATCACCAAACAAATGTTTATCTTAAGATGACACCCATAAACATGTCCAACAAAGATAGTGTCAAAAAATTGATGTCACCTAATGAATAATTTCCTTCTTTCTTTTTATTTATTTATTTATTTTTTTGAGACAGAGTCTTGCTCTGTCTCCAGGCTGGAGTACAATGATGTGATCTCGGCTCACTGCAACCTCCGCCTCCCAGGCTCAAGCAATTCTCCTGCTTCAGCCTCCCGAGTAGCTGGGATTACAGGCATGTACCACCATGCCCAGCTAATTTTTCTATTTTTAGTAGAGACGGGGTTTCACCATGTTGGTCAGGATGGTCTCGATCTCTTGACCTGGTGATCCACCCACCTCGGCCTCCCAAAGTGCTGGGATTACAGGCATGAGCCACCGCGCCTGGCCTTTCCTTCTTTCTTGACCTTCCTTTCTTCATACCATAACTCAGTGATAATTAGTAGGGGGTGAAACAGAGCCATAATACATTCATTTGTGAATCTCCCCTGTCCTCCTCACACTTACCTTTTCTCTATTCCCTTCTCCCAAGCCTGGTTCTGGCTCTCTCATGCTTCAGAATCTGTGAAATTGGTTCGGAGGGCTTCAAGAGAACTGCGGAGGCTAAGCCTGTATCATAAAGATTTAGGACTAGGGGAGAGGAAGCGAACACAAAGAAAAGTTGGACCATGTAAGAACTAGAAGGAGAGACTGGGGAGCTGGTCCTGGAGTGACTCCAGGGCACCAACATGTAGGGGAGAAATACTGCTGAGGGGAATGACATGATTTCTGTTTCTTTGAGAGATTCAAGACTGGATTTCCTTTTAATTAACATGGGGTGGCTGATCTATACTTCTTGAAGGCAACTCTAGGTGGGGGTAAACCACCTGGGGCCTCAAGATTTATTAGGACCTCACAATAGCAAACCTGTTGCTCCCCTAAAAGCTAGAAAGGGGGGTTTACAAAGGAGATAAACCACAGGTGTCAGATATGTATCCAAAACATCTCTCTGAAGGACTTTTCTCAATAAAAAAAAGCTACTGATGCATTTAAAATTAAGTAATAAAACAAGAAGTACCTGTGCATGAAATATTTTTACATCTCCCACCTCCAACCCTGAAGCCATCCTATTAGCAACCTACCCTATGATCCTGACATGACCCGACAGAAGGAGACTTGCAGATCCAACTGCTCCTCAGACTCTCACTTGCACAGGGGGCATTTTCAACATGTCCAGGGAGCATTTGCTGCCTTGATAATGACCTTTGAGGAGAGGAAACCAACTCAGAAGTACCTTCATCCTCCTTTTAGTTTGTCTTTTATGTTTTTTTCTTGAGCCAATGACTTCTTTCAGACAGCAATAATTTACACTTCAGGAAAATGTCAAAGTATAGCAATGCCCTGAATAATAATTACCGCCAAGGTTGGAATGAAGCCTTTCGAAGAAATGCTAAGTTAATTAGCCACACACTTGTTTACCATTAGGCCAGTGGAGAAAACAAGGAGCACAGGATCAGAACATGCCTGCAACATATGGTCTTTATTAATGGCGGCATCTCAATTAGTCTATGGGACCCCACTTCTGTCAACCCAGAGATGATCTGAATAAAGAAGGAGAAGAAATGTTCACAAAGCTGTCATGGGGAGAAGATGCTACCTGAGACCACTCAGGACACCCACAAAAGAAACTTGGATTTCTGTTGTTTTCTGTCATACCTTCATACATGAAATTGCCTCTTTTAATCTTTCCACAATGCATTTGTTTTGGGACAAAGGTCAAGAGAAGGGCAGATTAGGAAATAAGGAGGTTTACCCATTATTACCAAAAATCTATTTAAAAAATCATGTTTCCATGAATATCTCAATTTATCCCTTCTAATTCTTATTCTCATTTCTGAAATATATACTTTGTTTAGCTTTTTGGAAAAATCCACATTTTAAAGAAGTATACAATAAAAAAATAATACTCCTTATTTACATGCTTCTGCAATCATGGCCGCCTTTCCACAGAACACTCTCAGACGAAGGCCCTTTTGTGCCGGCCTACTTAGATGTTACCAAAGGTGTACAAAAACGCATCTCTTGCAGATGGCTGGAAGATAGCTCTGAGCTCTTTGTGTTCAATCAATCCCCCAGGAAAAGGCATTAGAAATTTATTAGAAGCAGCTCCCTGTTCTCCTCAGTTTCTGAGCTTGGAAAAAGCACACTACACTGAAAAAGCATTTTGAATGGAAAATGTAACCTGAAGTATCTTACTTTTTTCTTTCCTCCATAGTCCTACCATCGATATATCCTTTGTAGGACTCTATTAGTTTGCTAGGACGAGCATAACAAAATACCAAGTACCACAAACTGGCTGGCTTAGAAAAGAGACATGTACGATCCCACAGTTCTGAGGACAGGGGCCTAAACCAATGGGTCACCAGGGTTGGTTCCTTCTGAGGACTGTGAAGGAGGATGTGTTCCAGGACTCTCTCCTTGGCTTGTGGATGGCTGTCTTCTTGATGGATTTCCTCACACTGTCTTCCCTCTTTGCTTGTCTGTTGCTATGTCTAAATTTCCCTTTCTTTAAGAATACAAGTCATATTGCACTAGGGCCCACCCCAGTGACCTCATCTTAACCTGATTACCTCTGTAAAGGCCGTCTCCAGATACACTCACATTCAGAGGCACTAGGGATTAGGACTTCAACTTATCTTTCTTTGCAAGGGATACAATTCAACCCATAACAGAGATGAGTAAAAAAAAAAGATATTAATGTTCAAAAAATTAAGTAACCAAACATAAAAACTTTAAAAGCTAGTGGCTGGGATAATGTCTAATGCCCCAAAGTGGAAAGGTACCATTGTCACATATTTCAAAGAGGAAAGGTACCATTGCCACCTATTTCCCTGGCTGTTTGTTACCTTGATGAAGTGTCTACTGTGGCAAGGCATTATGCATGGCACTGGGCAACAGAGGGAAAAAAACATGGAGCCTCTATGCTCATGAATTTACCCTCTCCTTTTATGCCAGCCTTTTCAACCTGGGGGAAAGTGGACTGGCTAGAGTACTAATCAAGCTGTGAAGGACTTTGGGCTTCTACTTCATTCTCCCTTGCATTGACAGCTGGACAGTTAAAAGCAGCAACACCAACAGCTGCACAGCACCCAACTCATCAACCCACAACAACGGTGACATCACCTAAGTTAGCATGGAAGTGGCCAGTCTGCTTTTGCCAATTCTTTGGGACATTAAACCCATGATAATACTTTTAATATAATTCTGTGTGAACCAATAATGATGACAAACTATTCTTCTTGCCTGGTTGGAGATAATAAGTAACAATACCTCCTATTTTCTACGAACTGTACTTTTTTTCTAGCACCGTGCCAGGCACTTACCATGATAATTTTATGCCATTTTCACAAGGTGAGACTGATATTACTAGCTCCATTTTACAGATGGAGAGATTACATGTCTTGCTAAAGCTACCAGCTAATACAGAGTAAAGGTTAAATCTGAAATCAAGGTGTCTAGAAAATCAACCCCATGCTCTTGAGCCTTACACAATAGTGTCTCTTTCAACCTTTTGAACCTGAGCACTTATGACAACTGCCCAGTATATGTGTACACATATTCTGTGCATGTTATAGATAGACAGATAGATAGATAGATAAAATATCTATTTTCTCCCCCCAAAATCTATGACTAATGCAATAAACCTCCCACTGATTAGACAGTTATGGCTTTTTCTCACATCTCCATCAGTGACATAACATATTAAGCAAAAAAGTCCGACCCAGCTGATTAGTATTTGATGTGCTGAAGAGCCTAATGTTTCTTTATATGAAACATCAGACAGTGGCAGCCTACTTAATTACTAGGTTGACTTTATGTCTTCAAAATAATAAAACAGAATAATCCAAACGACAGGCCAACGTGGTGAGTGATATTTGAACATCTACTCGACCCTAAAACTGTTAAAGCAAAAGTACTTATCCAAAATCCAATACTTTCCATTTTTCTTTTAAATGTTGTAAGTCAAAACCAGCTAAATTGATTTTTTGCCTTTGACTTCTGCTGAAAAGTTCATTCCTAAGCAGATTACATGTGTGGCTTTGCAGCTCAGAGGAAATTTTACAGCCAAGTAAAACCCTAAAATCAGGAAAACATGGGTTTGCTGAATACAGTAGAAAGACGTGACAGATCTTAATTATAAAAGAACAAATATATCTTGATAGATGAACTGTCTTTTGTGAATTAAGACTCAAAAGTTTTAACTCCTTGATTAACCGTTACCCATTAGTAATATAGAAAGTTGTGAGGCAACGTCTTCAAACTTCTAAGTAGAACAGAGCACTCCCAAAGCATGCAGAACCCCCTGTAACATCACTCAACGCATTTTCAGCATGAGTGCCCAGGGTAAGCCTTCCTCACAATGTTGCAAAGCAAATCGTGTCCCTCATTCCCTTTTCTACTCCCAGCACTCCTTGGTTAAGTGTTTTAACAGGGTAAGTGATGACGGTACAGGAAGAGAAGAAGGAAGAGGAGGAGAAAGAACAACAATGATATCATGGTAAAGGCCTGTAGAAATTGATCTACCAGACAAAACTCAAGAGCTCATATGATACAGGATTTTGCTTGCACATGGTCACAATTAAATAAATGATGAAAATGAGACTCAAATATAGATTGTATACCTCATTCCACTGTTACAAGCTTTCTTCTAAATGAGGAATCATCAAAACCAAACAGAAGTGTCTATCTTAGGTCACCTTACCCTCTTTTCTGATTGTTGAAATTAAGGCAGTGCAAGAAACCTGGGGAGACACTGGAAAGTGTCCCCATGCCAAGCCCTGTGAGCACAATGAGCTCATGAAAGAAAAGCCCAGAGCCAACAACTAATAATCGTGCTTAAAACTCATCATTTAAGAATTTCAAAATAAACACTGATCAATTGAAGTTATTTTGACCCAAAGTCTTACGTACCTTCTTTTGCTTGTCCATATTGGCCATCATAAAAAACAGCAAAAAAAAGAAAGAAAGAAACAAAGATGGGGAGTTGTTGCTTAATGGGTATACAGTTTCAGTTTCGTAAGATGAGTGAGTTCTGAAGATCTGTTGCACAGTAATGTGAGTATGTTTAACACTACAGAACTGTACACTTAAAATGGTTAAAATGATGTATTATTCCATTAACTTAAAATGGTTAAAATGATGTATTATTCTCAGGTATGATAAAGACATACCTGAGACTGGGCAATTTACAAAAGAAAGAGGTTTAATGGACTTACAGTTCCACATGGCTGGGGAGGCCTCACAATCATGGCAGAAGACAAGGAGGAGCAAGTCACTTCTTACATGGATGGCAGCAGGCAAAGAGAGAGTTTGTGCAGGGAAACTCCCCCTTACAAAACCATCAGATCTTATGAGACTCACCCACCATCATGAGAACAGCTTGGGAAAGACCTGCCCCCATGATTCAATTACCTCCCACTGTATCCCTCCCACAACACGTGAGATTTGGGTGGGGACACAGCCAAACAATATCAAATGATAAATTTTATGTTTTTTTAATGGAAAATAAAATTTAAAAGAAGGAAAAAGAATTCTCTCCCCTTCCCTCTCTCCCTACCTCCCTACCTTGCTTTCTCCCCTCCAGGGAAGACATGTGCCTCCAGGATGGAAACAAATGGATTGATCTGGAAAATACTTAGGAGGCAGAACTGAAAAAATTTGAATGTGAGGATGAGAAACAGGGAGATCATGGGTGATTTCCAAGTCTCTGGATCAACTGAAATGGAGAATGGATAAGGAGGAACACCTGGAGGAGAGCACGCTTGGAAAGGCATGGTGAGTTTCATCTAACTAGAGATCACCAGCAGGAGTCTGCCCTGTCCATCTGGAGCCCAGGAAGGAGGGTTAGGGTGGAGATTCTGTACATTTCTACAGCCAACTCTAATTTTTGGTTACAATCAAAGCCTATGCCCTTCTAAAACCTTTTTCTTCCATCACTAATGATCAGCTGTGTTTCCAGAAGTATGAATGGATTTATCCTATATTTCTGCCTAATATTTCATATATGAATACTTCTAGGCAGGCATTGGGTCATATGTGTAAAACGAAAGCAAGTACTTAACACAATAGACCATTCAATAAAGCTGCTTTTCACATGCTTCATTTACTACTTTCCATTGCCTTTTTCGCAAGCAATTACCATCTCACACATGCCCAGTTTCACCATTCTGCAGAACCAAATGTTGAATTTAGGCAAACATAGGGTGTTCAATAAACAGGTGGATTTTGAACAGAACACCAATGAATTCAGGAAGCACGGTCAACCAGCTGCGTCTGTCAATGGAATAATCAGTAGCTGGCTGCATCTGTGCTGGCTGGGCTGCCATCGGTGTTTACAAGCTGGAATTGAAGAGGGCTCGGCCAGCTGACAGCAGAAGTTTGCGCAGCACCTGTCTAAAGTATATATGACTGCCTCCAGGCAATCCCATTAGTTCTCCACTTTCATGGACACTAGGACTTGTTCACAAATTTAGGGGGAAAAATAAAAAAGACAAACAGAGCTAGCCTCTGACTGAGAAAGGACACCTGAAAGAGAAACAATCCCATATGGAGAAACAGAACAAGGGGGTGAGAATGAGAAAGACAAGAAATCACTCAAGAAAGCCAGTAATGTTTACAGATAGTAGAAAAATTTTGTCTGTAAACAGTGGGCTTGGTAGCATTTTTTTAAATCAGAGATGTTCTGGAGAAATATGTAAAGAACTCAGCCCAAGCTTTCTGATGCCAGGCAGGGCATAAGTAGTTTACATGGAACCTTCTGACTTGTTTATCTGACATAGTAAACAGCTTTCTCTGATCCCACTGTCCCTTTTACGCATTACAAGATAACAAAAAGTTATGCGATTTTAGGAAATCAAGTATATAAACAGGGCTATTCTCAGCACATCCACTGAATATTAAGTGCCCACTTTTATCTGCTAGAACTTGATGTGTGAAGGTAACCAACTTAAATGCACTGAAGAGATTGCATTCACACAGTGAATAGTGACATTTTGCTAGGAATTTGTTAAATTTTATAATGCAAGCATACTGCCGTAATGTTCCACAAAACGTAACAGTCGGTGCACAGCAATACTGCCCTCTGGTTTGTGAGGGCTATTTCCATCCTCAATTCATTCTAGCAGGAAAAAGAAATTAAAGATATGATAGAATGCTATCCACATTGTTATAATGCTGGTTCTTTCTGAGGTTAGTGGTCACACACAGTGCTATAGAGGCGGTTGTTCTTTCTTGTGCCTGTAACTGCTGAGGTTAATCTCTCAGTGCTTCCAAATGCATATGGACATTTACACATATGGACACTGACCAATCCTAAAAGAAAACTCAGGATAAATCATGTTCAACTTCAAAAGTCCAGCAGCTAATTCAAAGCCATGCTCTTGTAGAAGGAGCCATTGAAAACAACAGAGAAACCAGACAACAGTCTTTAACGTCTTATCTTTGTTTATGATTCTTAAGACCACACCTGGCGTGAACCGATATGCTAGGTCACCCTGGTTCCTCAGGTGCATTAGGCATATGTGAGCAGTGAAACTATGACAACCAGAATGCAACATCCAATTATAATGATTAGAATAACAACAAACACTTAGGCAATAATTATTTCCATTCATTCACTTCATCTCCCCAATAACTCTACGAGGTAAGTACAATTATTATTCCCCACTTCATGGACCACTCAGTGCCATACTAAGAGTCCCAGAGCCAGTAACGAGCAGACTAGATTTAAGATCAACCCCATCTGACTTAGGGGTTCTGCTCTTACTGTTGTTCTGTACCTAAAGCTATCTGATGTATTTTAAAATGTAGGTGTATCAGTTTGGTGGGGTTGCCATAACCGTGAGTTGGGTGGCTTAAACAGCAGAAATTTTTCTTACAGTTCTAGAAACTGAAAGTCCAAGATCAAGGCATGGGCAGGTTTGGTTTCTCCTGAGGCCTCTCTCTCCCCTTGGCTTGCAGATGGTCTTCACCGTGTGTGCACCTTCCTGGTATGCCTTTGTGTGTCCTAATCTCCTCCACGTATAAGAACATCAGCCAGACCAGATTGGGACCCACCGTAATGGTTTCATTTTAAGTTCTCTCTTTCTTTGTTTTCTTCTTTTGAGACAGAGTCTCACTCTGCTGTCCAGGCTGGAGTGCAGTGGCGTGATCTCAGATCACTGCACCTTCTGCCTCCTGGGTTCAAGCTATTCTCCTGCCTCAGCCTCCCGAGTAGCTGGGACTACGGACATGTGCCACCACGCTTCCCTAATTTTTTGTATTTTTAGTAGAGATGGGGTTTCACTATGTTAGCCAGGATGGGCTCGATCTCCTGACCTCGTGATCCACCTGCCTCGGCCTCCCAGAGTGCTGGGATTACAGGCGTGAGTCTCTACGACCGGCCTTAAGTTCTCTTTTCAAAGGCCTTAGCTACAAATGCGGTCACATTCTGAGGTACTGTGGGTTAGGGCTTCGGTGTGAATTTTTGGGGAAACCACAACGCACCCCATAACAGCAGGTGTGTTAACGTTCTACAAAACGCAACGGTGGGTGAATTGTAGGACTTCCCTCTGCTTTATGAGGGCTTAATTGTATAGGGCCTTATTTTGGATCTTTCCACATTCAACAAGTTCTGAGAATGTGATACTTGGAAACCATGTTCATCAGAAGAGTGAAAGGCTTTCAGGTAAACGTCCTTTGATCTTTTTCACCGTGATGCCCTCCGATGACATTAACTGTGGTAGTAACCAGCATCATTCAGTTGCTGTTTTAGAAGGAACTTAAAAATGGAAGATTTGAAAACATGATTGTGAAACCATAATTTTGCACTGAGTCCAGTATTAACAGTTTTTCAACAGAGTTAACTCTTGCTGCTTTTTGTTTTAACCCTGAGTGTCTAGAACTGAGTTGGGCAAGCTCCTTAACCCACAGCACACCAGCAGCCTAGAACTCTCCAAGATGTCACTTGGATTTTCCTTCTGACCTGCCTTTCCTGATCCCTTGCTACCTCACCCTATAGACATAGGCTTACTTTTCCCTAATATTTTCCTGTACTTTAACGCATAGCTGTGTTTTTATGAAAAATAAAATACTGGGGTTTTATGCTCAACTTATTTAAATGATATTTCACTACAAATTATGTTCTTCTTCTATTTGTTTACATCATTATGCTTTTGAAAACCACCAGAATATGTATGTGTACCTCTGGATCTAAGCTGTTAAACATAGTAGCCACTAGCCACATGCAGCTACCGGGCATTTGAAATACGGCTCATGCAAGTGGAAAACTAAATTTGTAATTTTAATTTATCTTTAATTTAAATTTGAAAACCTGTATCTTAATTATGAGAATACTTTTAAATATTTTTGGAATATCTTGATGAATCTTCTTTTTTCAGTTGTACATTTTATAAAACTTAAATATGAATCAATCAGTTCCAATGAAAATTTAGCCTCTGATTTAAGATGTACTATAAAATACACATCAGATACTGAAAATAGTACAAAATAGGAATGTAAAACATATCAGTAAGTTTTATGTTGATGATATACTGAAATACTACTTTACATATATTAAATAAAATACAGCATTAACATGATCACCTAATTCTTTAAATTTAAAAAAGTAAAAATAAATTTTCTTGGTACTTTTTTGTGTGGCTACTAAAAATCTTTAAATTACACATGTGGTTCACATTATACTTCTACCAGACAGGGGTGATCTAGGTTTTAATTCCTCTAACTACTACAAGTATTCTATAATAAGCATAAATAATAATTTTACTTCATTCTCTTATCAGCAGGCAAATAGATTGTTTCTAATTCTTTACCATATCAAACAACCCTCCAAATTCCTGTTTTTATGCATCCTCACTAATACTTATTATGATCTTTCTTGTTGCTTTTGGTCAACTTGGTGGTTATAGAGCAGTGTTTCTTATTTAAATATTCATGTCTCAGAATACTGAAAGTGTACATATTAGCCATTCAAAGTTCCCCTTTCGTAAACTGCCCATTTATATCTTTGCTTATTAAAAATTTTGAATTCACATCTTTTATTTACCAATTAGTAGAAGTAAAAAGATATATTCCCAGTATAAATCTCTTGTCCACTGTTAGACGTAATTTTTCAGCTATTATACGTATCTCCAATATTTTCTTAGCTTGTACTTTGTTCATTTTTCCCATAGTTTATTTCATTGAACACAAATCTTTAATTATAATTAAATTCCTTAAATTTTACCTTTATTATTTCAAGAAATTCTACCCTAGTAAGAAATTGTGAAGAAATTTCATCTTTTCTACTCTTGGTTTATAGTTTCGCCTTCCATATTTGGATCTTCAGTCCATCATGAAGCCCTATAGCACTTAGAGCAGCAGATGGTTGCCAACATCCTAGGCTTAGGTACTTGCCATTTGAGAATCTGAACAAAACTGAAGACTTTCTTACTGAAAGAATGTATGTGCATAAAATACTATATATATAATTTCAGGCTGTTCCCAGACCTCTACTGCAAGCCCTTTCATGTATCCTTATGCAGTCCACAGAATCCAGGCGCAGGATCCCCGAGTCTCACAGATTCTACTCTCTATTCAAAAACTTCATTGTATTTTTCATGGCTTTGCTCACCATCTTTTTCTGGGTTATCTCATATTCTCAACTAGTTTATGAGCTCCTTACGGACAGAGACCTAGATCCAGGCATCTCCAAGATTTTTCATGGCACCTGAGAGCTGGGAGTGCTCAATAAATACGCCCCTTAGCAAGTGATATTCCAGAAATCAGACTCAGAGAAGAGAATGTGGTGTAAGGCCCAGGGGATTACTCTAAAGAGGCCTCCATTAATTCATGCATTCAATCAACAGTCATTGAGCTTGTCCACTGTTTCAGGTCCTGGGCTACATGGAAGATAATCAAGGGAAAGGCCACAGTTTGTGTCCTCAGAGGGTTCCTATTCTAGAGGGGACAGCAAAGGAGAAGTAATTATAACACGGGGCATCAATGCTCTGCTAAAGTAAGGAAGTAGGGAGCTTCTGGTCTGCATAACAGGAGGGTACCTAATGGGGCCTTTGAGGTAGGGGAAGGTTGGGCCTCTCAGCAGGAGTCATGTTTAGGCGGAGACTCACAAAAATGCATAGTGTTAAAAAAATTAAATTTAGCCTGAGGCTGTCTCCGTAATTTGAGTCCCTACCTAAGGAACTGCAGCCTAACCTAACTTAGTCTATTAAACACACCGAAAGCCTAATTTAGGATGCTTTTTTTTTTTTTTTTTGTAACAGCAGCTGAGCTTCAGCCAATCACAGGCTGCCAACTGATCAGACCATGACCAAATAAGGTGAACACCTAGACATAACTTAAGGAGGAGGCAGGATTTGACTGAGGAGGCAGGGCTCGGACACCAGATCAAATCAAAGACTACCTAGAACAGGGACAGAGTGGAAGTACATTTCCGTAAGATATGCCCACCACTGGTGCCATGCCACTTTATCTCTCCAGCACTTAATAGATTCTACCTGAACCCCTCACCCTCAACTGCTATTAACTGAACCTGGAAATCTGAGTATCTATATCTGTAGTGCATTAATGATTCTATATTTTGCACCCACTGTGTATTAATGACACAAAAGTGGAGGTTTCCCTTCAATGCTTTGATCCAACTCTAAGCTGCCAAGTCCCCAAGGCTGTAACAGTGTATACAGGATTCTACTTGTGAGCAAGGAAACAAACCATATATGGTGACTTCTCTCAGATAACAACATACAGGAAAAAAATAAAACAAACAAACAAAACAACTGCCTAATCTGGGAAGGTAGGAGTACTGACCCACTCTGTGAAACAAAGATTGGTTGGGTATCTCCATTGGAACAGGGCAAGAATATCTCTACAGACCCAATTTGGCAGCAATGGATAGATATCAGATGTTGTGGAGCCTCTATTTGCACCCCAACTGGACTAATTTTTGTTTGTGGCCATTAATGGGGAAAAGTCATACCCCATATTCACTCTTGACTACCCCATGAGCCACTTGTTTTTAGGAGTGGCTTTCCCTTGTATATAAAAAACTTGGAACAGAGGTGAATGTAGGATGGCCACTCTTGCTTCTCTAGGGGTCACAGTCTATAATCCCATAAGAACCAAGAACACCAGAAATAAACAAGCAACAGCATTAATTCTAGCAGGAATCAGAGCAGCAATAGAACGAGTGGCATCCTGGGGCAGCTTTGCCTATCACGAGTACACCCTGAAAAACTAGACTCAAACTCTAGAATCCCTAGCCACCAACACAGGTCATGTACTAAAGGGAATCCTAGAGTCCTTAGAATCTTTGGCAAATGTACTTCTTGGTAACTCATTCTGAGGGCTGCCCGATTAGTTGACTGCTCTTTGGTCAAACTCTGTTAAATTAAACTTGTCTACAGTTTTTCTTTTACCAGTAGGCAGCTCATCTGAAAACAGTAGGAGGGAAAAGAGGGAATCCTAGAAATCGATCTGTCATAAACATTGTGAACTGGCTAGAGTGCTCCTGCCTTTTCCTGGGAATCAGAAAGTAGCAGCCAGACAGGAAACCAAACCACCTGATCTTTTACAAACAGGAATCAGATCACTGTACTGCCACATTTAAAGCCACCAGGGGCATCCCATCTAGGATGGGATGGGAAAAAGTATGTCTAAAATATATATACATAGTGTATATAAATATATATTATATATAATATAAATAGTATATAAAATATATAAGTATATATTACACATATAATTTTTTCTTAGTATAAGTATGTCCCGCGTAATATTTGCAATGTAACTTACACTAACAAAGTATGTGTTATTTATCAGAAAGTCAAATTTATGGCAGTTAAACCTGCCAGCCCAAAGCACTTAAAATATAAAATTACACTTAAAATAGAGTCTTCAGTATTATATTTTCTCTGGCTTTCATCTTAGTGTGAGCTCTGCATTGTTCCCCATGCTTCAGGCATGCTGACCAGTGAGAATGAGAATAAGAATGCCAAGCTCCATCCCATCTTAGCACCTTGGCTTCTGTATCTTCTTTCCATTTAGAATGTGTTTTCCCTCTTTCTTAGCGTGGTTGGTTTCTTCTCTTCTTTCAAATACCAGTTTAGATGTCACCTCCATAGAGAGGCCTTCCCTAACCACACCACCTAAAGTAGGCTATCCCAATTATTTTCTCTCTAGATACATATATATATGTCAGTCCATAAACATTTTATTCTTTCACTTCTAAACTGTTGCCCTCACCATTATGTCAGAGACTTCTGCCTTTTGCATCTTTGTGTCCCTAGCCCTTAGCAAAATGTCTGTCACATACGAGATACTCAACAAATTTTTATCATATAATGGAAATCTTAAGTTAGTATTTTCTCTGGTGCTTCCAAGACATGCATTTTGCCTAGACATGTTATTGTTCGTCATGTGAACTGGCTATGGCAAAACACATTGCCTTCAGAGAGAAAGAGCCACACAAGTTGGAAAGGAAAGGTCACAAGGATGAAAGAACTCTATCAACATTAATGCCTTATAAAAAAATCTCTTAAGAGATACCAAAAGATGGAAAGAAATTGAGTCTATCATTTGAAGACATCCCCCACCCCCGCTTTTTTGCTTTCCTGCAAGTCATATCTGAGTCATACCTAAGGCACTTTGGCTGTGCCTCCTTGTGGTCCTCTCCATTTCTTACTACTTCATCTCATCACTTTACCACCTTCAAAGAGTCCTTTCCTCATATAACCTCACATGATGTTCACAGGATTAAAAAACTCCAAACGTTCAATAGAGAAACAACATTTTCTTAAAAATATACAGACAGACATATGCGAATTCTTTCAACATGCTTATAAATCTATCCACAACCCTACTCAGAGTATGCTTCAAATGTAAATCAGAAGCCATATATATTGTATTCTTCCAAGTGATTACTCTGGAAAAGAAAAATCACACATATTTATTGAGAGGAGAACAAATTTAATAATTTTGCTCAATCATCAAAAACATTTCTAAATATGAGCTATGATAGGAAAAAAATCAGTTTAACTTTACATATGAATTATTTTCCTGTTTTAATCATAGAATTTTTTAAAGTTTTGGATTAGATTCAAATTTCTTCAGAGAACTAAATGATAAGTTTGCAAACAATTACTGGAAAGAAATAAGGACAGGTGAGAGCAAAAGAAAGAAAAACGGTTACAGAGTGTAAAACTATTTTCAAGCACAAAGTTAAAAACTTCTAATACAGAACCTGGAAAACACTTTATGTGTGTGAGATAAATGAAAGCGTTGAGGTCAGATTAGAAAAACAAAACAAAACAAAACATAGCTTCTACTGACAAATGTAAATGCACCCTGTGATCCTGTTGCCAATGAAGTGGCATTGCTCTGATGTACCACTCCCATCCCAACCCAAGCACACACTTGTCAATGAGCACCAGGGTTTTCAAATTATCCAGAACTCTATCATAATGATGGAGCTAGGAAGTTCTTTCAGCCTCTTAACAGCAGCGCATTATTTTCCCTATAGATAATACTGAGAACATGGCAACACTTCTGCCTGATCTGCTTATTAATAATACCCAACACAGCATTTATTAGATAGAGAACTACTAGATGTTAGGTGCTGGGTTAAGCACAGGAAAAGAATCAACAAATTCTACATCATTTTCTTTGTTGTGTTGGTGGTGGTGGTTACTGTTGTTTATACCTTCAGATCTCTTTCTACACTAAATTTTTGGGTAGAAATGTTTAAATATCATCCTTAGCCTCCGCAATAATAATAGCATTTCATCACTATCACTGGTGAGAAATTTGTGTTTTATTTTTGTTTACATTTTACATTAAGAAATTAATGAAGTGGGAATGGCTACCTTTGCTGTATACTCCAAACTCCCACTGATCTGTGTGTGGGTTGCGTGTTTGTCTAGAGAGGACAGTTGCCCAACACAGGAAAAAAAATACCCTGTCATTATATGATTTTTCACAGAACTAAAAAGAAATAAACTACCCCCATTCCAAAGCGTGGCCTCCTATCTTTTTGCTACACCTCATATACTTTTCTCACATGGCAAGAAGGGTACCCTTGACTGCTCAGTGCCTCTCCCTCCTCTTGATGCTGAGATGCTCCAAAACACCACTGGGGTTCTTCAGGAGGGATTTCATTGTCAACTCCAGCTTGCAGTACAGGGAAGTGACATCTAGAGTGGGCCTCTTTTTGTCACTTTCCCCATACTACCACACACATAAAAATGCCTGTCAAACACTGTCCTACATACATGGATGAGAAAAAGAAATAAGCACTCTACTATGAAAGACTCTAACTAGAAAAAGCAAGGAGATGCCAACTGACAAATGTATGGTGATGGACTTTCTTTTTTTTTTTTTTTCCAATTCTCAGATTTATTTCTGAGGCTCTCAGCCAATTTCTGTGTCATAAAGATGGTGCAGTTCAGAGCTTAATTGCTTTAGCACTTGCACCAAGAAAAACTGTATTGCAAACAATGAAGAAAGAAGAGAGGAAACCAACATTTTCTAGGCACTGGCCACGTGGCAACCAGTGTACAAGGCATTTAGAGAAAGCTTTTTGATTCCATTCAATCCTGGAAACCAACATGTTGAAGGGCCAGATTTTTCACCATTTTATAGGGATGCAAACTTTAGCTCAGAGAGGTTAAATGACTTGCCAACAGTCACACAACTAGCACTTAGAGGAACGGGAAGGCTAACTCGGAGCTGATGCTGCAGCTTACACTCACTCCCCACTCCCACGCAACACAAACTCTTTCTAGGCAGCTTCGAAGGTACCAAACAAGTGGCTCCTAAGGACTCAGTAAACATTCCTGTCAGCTGGCCAAGATGAATATTTTGGATAATGTCCAGACACGTGAAATACCAGCTTTAAGTTGTGGAAGTGCTTCAGGCACAACCAAGTCTCATTTACGTCCTTTAAAAAATAGTCATGACCTGCCCCCTTCACACACTGTCATTCTTCTGGAAGGTATCTGAGAGCACAGCTCTGCAAATGCCAAGAGCATTATGCAGTTTCCATACATAGGGCTTCCTGAGTCAGGTTTGGCAGGGCAGGGGTTCAGTGTACAATATTTCTGCCTTATTTCTTTAAGTTTCTCTTGGCTACAGCTCTTAAGAGACACACAGAGGGAATGGATTCTGTAGAAGATTTCTCCCAGAAATTTTGGTGTAGATTAGAAAGCTTGGTTTGCTTCTGGTTCTATTACTTGAGATTTATTTGGAACTAAAAGGTTTTCTGCCTGAGAGTAACCATTTAATATATTGGGGAGGGGGGAAGAATAAAATGCTCCTTTTGTTTTGCTATTTGCACCACCCTGTCCCGATTCTATTGTTTGCAGTAAGTTTTGTAAGAGAAACTCTTCTGCACTCCTTATTGTGTTACAAGTTTAGATGTACCCAAACCATCAGCAGTTAGATTCCAAGTATACGCTTTTGATTGATTCAAGTGCATTACCCGGGAGGGTGTGTGCTTTGCTCTGTTGTTCTTCCAGCCAACTCCCTTGCCAGCTGCTGAAATGATGCCACCACCGGTCTCCATGTCATGCAGATTTTACACCCTGATACCAGGAAAGCAGAAGCATTTCTCAAAAGACTTTTTGCTGGCTTGGCAGGAAAACAGAAATTGCTTTTTATCAAAATGAAAAAGGTTTTCTTCATGGGAAACAGCAAAAGCAGTTTGAAAGAGGGGCCAATACTTTTATCCTAGATAAGGTGTTTTCAGCAGAGCAGACAGAAAAACATGTTTTCCTTCCTTTCATGACATCAATCAGATCCCCAAAGCCAGCTACCTTTATTCACAGAACAGATGGAGCGGTAATGGTCCCAGAGGCCACTCTTCCTGGTCTGGGGATCTTGCCATCCCTGCCTGAAAGTTCTCAAATCCAAGCTCTGGGAACTTGGGATGCTTTTTTCTGCCTCTCCCACACTCCAAGAGGAACACATCCACTATTATGCATGTCTTCATTCTTTGTCCTGGGTGGAACTTCTGGGGGTGGGAGAATGGGTGATAAAGGGGGAAGTGGGATTCACTTTGTGAACACCTACTAGAAGCCAAGCCAGGTACATCCTATGCATTATTTCATATAAACCTTACCACAAAACTTTGAGTGGTATTATTATGTCCATATGACAGACGCCAAAGAAGTAGACTAGGGGAGTTAAATGAAATCCCAAAAGTCATATACTAATATGTGGAATACTAGTAAAATCTGGAATGTGAACCCTGCCTGGTCTGTTGCTTCAGAGCTTTGATGTGCCACCAACAAACACTTCCATGCCTCTCTGCTTAGAGGCCCAGTTTAAAATGCTATCCTCTGGATAAATATGTGGTAGGTCCATACAATGGAATATTACTCAGCCATGAAAATGAAATTCTGACACGTTACAACATGAATGAACCTTGAAAACATAAGCTAAGTGAAATAAGCCAGTCACAAAGGATGATATTGTGATTCTGAAACCAACCCAATAATCCCATAGATAGTTTTTTGGATAGACGTAGAAATTGACCTTTGTGGTCTTAATGCTTGAAGTTTATATTTGTTTTAACTGAGTTCCTTCCTCAGGAAATGACCTTCAGGCCTCTCGAAAAAAAAAAAAAAGTATTGGCAAACTGAAACTCACCAGATCACCACATTTTGACAATGAGATGCTGGACCCCTCATTCTCAGGATTGCTTCCTTGCCTCTCCCTAGTTCCTGTTTTCTTATACATTATTACATTTCTTCCTGGCTATATAAACCCCTGGTTTTACATAGTCTGGTTTTGGTCAGGGAAATGGATTTGAGACTGAACTCCCTTCTTCTTGGCAATACTCATCATCTCAGTGACTGGTTTTCTGCACGGCAAACAGCAGGACCTAGACCGAACCCCTAGTGTTTTGGTAACAATTCCACTTCTGTGAGGTACCTAGAATAGGCAAGCTTACAGAGACAGAAAAGTAGAACACAGATTACCAGGGGCTGGGGGAGGGAGAAAGTAGTCCGGGGAATAGGGAGTTATTGTATAATGAGTACAGAGTTGTGTTTTTTTTTTTTTTTTTTTTTTTTTTTTGAGACAGAGTCTCGCTCTGTCACCAGGCTGGAGTGCAGTGGCTCGACTCGATCTCGGCTCACTGCAATCTCCGCCTCCTGGGTTCAAGCAATTCTCCTGCCTCAGCCTCCTGAGTAGCTGGGATTACATGCCCAGCTAATTTTTGTATTTTTAGTAGAGATGGGGTTTCACCATGTTGGGCAGGATGGTCTGGATCTCTTGACCTCATGATCTGCCCGCCTCAGCCTCCCACACTGTTGGGATTACAGGCGTGAGCCACCGTGCTGACCGTGTACAGAGTTTCTATTTGAGATGACAGAAACTTCTGGAGTTGGATAGTGTGATGACTGCACAACATTGTGAATGTACTCAGTACCACTGAATGACACAGTTAGAAATGGTTAACATGCTAAATTTTATGTTATGTGTAGTTTGCCATCACACAAAAATGTTCCCTGCTTTTCCCTTTGAAAGATGCCACATCTGCCCTGATTCCAAAGCTCTTTCTTAGAATTGACTCCCACTAGCTGTAAAGTGACACAAAAGATGATCTACTCCAGGCATGCCAACTCAAATCCACTGATAGTGACAGCTAGCAACACTGTGTTAAGAAAGATTATGAGGATGTTTTCAGGGCCAAAAAAGATAAATAACATGATCGATTTGTAAAAATCCCCTCACAATGAGACATCGAAATGTTGGATAAAATACAACAAAATATTAATTGTTCTGGGAAATGTGAATTGGGAAACACAGACCAAGTGGCAAAAGCTTGGGCAGAGAGTCATGGTATTCAGAGGCCATGATGGTCAAATACAGGTTGATCTTCTAAAAACATAGGAACCGAGTGAGTAAGAAAATCAAGGCAACTAAAACGAAGAAAATGTTACAGTAGGTAGGTAGTCAGGCGTGATGGGGCAGGAGAGGGCCCTCCCAACACCCCCACCAGGAAAGCCACGCTACCATCAGGTGATGGTCAGGTGGTTGTTAACTCTCTTTAAAATAATAATTTGTCACAGCCAGCACCAGGGAAAGACCGTCTTCCTATATTGATAGGAAACACCTGTAACTGGTAATCAGCAGTTTTCAGGAGTTGGGCGAGTGAGCACAAGCATGCGCATTAAGAGACAAAATGGCAGAATATGGTTTTCTGGGGCATTCCACTGGAAAAGGGAAGAAAGCCTCAGGTGGGCATACATACAACTTCTTAAACACACTCACATGCTCACCTCCCACATGTTAGCAGGCCACACACATGTGGGTGGCCCACCTTAAGAGAAGAACCATGGGAAAAGGGACACAAGGCCCAGAAGTACAACAACATATAAAACCCACGTCAAAAGGTCAAACGTTACATGTGACCTTCACAGTGCCTGCTTGGGTCTCTTCCAGATATACTTTCCTTTCTTTCCTGTGCTAAAGCTTTTTAATAAACTTCCACTCCTGCTCTAAAACTTGTCTCAGTCTCTTTTCCTGCCTTATGCCCCTCAGCTGAATTCTTTCTCAGGAGGCAAGAACTGAGGTTGCTGCAGGCCCATATCGATTAGCCGCCAGTAACCCAAATATTCATTGCCCCCAACAAAAAGAGCAGAGGTTTTCTGTGCCTACGAGGTTCATGAATGAGGGCTGCCTAGAGCTCCCCCCATTCTTGTTGGGTCTCCCCTTCTAGTACAAGACTCCTTGTAGCTTTGCAATAAGTTTACCTTTTCCTTATAAAACTTTACTAGCTATTCTTCAAATCGACAATGGTTTGACTTCAACAGGTCTTCATGGGGTGATCACATCATGTGTCATCCATAGAGGGTAATTTGAACTTATAAGCATTAACCGTGCTCCATGAGTTGTTGTTTTTTGTTTTGTTTTGTTTTCCTTTTGCTTTGATAAACAACATACCCAGATACATGGGGGAAAAATGGTAGTCATCCAATTTCTTCATATTGCCAGACTCACAGCAACAGGAAAGTGACGTTATTAACCCTGGGGAGCCTCTATAACTTCTTAAACCATAAACAAAAATAAAGAACATAATGGAAGGTATAATTGGTGTTAAAAAAAAAAACCCAAATGTTTTCTGAATTCCATCCTCATGTTACACACTCAAAAAGTTTCTCTGTAAAGAAAGAAAATCTTTGACTCAAGAATCAACTTTCTAGCTATCTCAAAACCAAATTATAATGAATTTAGACCGTAGAATCAATACTGGGGGACTAACTAAGGATCACTAAATCCTGTGTTATTGATTGCTTGGAGAAAACTATCTTTTTAAATATGCATCACATAACAAAGTTCTTTATTTCTAAGAACTTTCTCCAAATCCTCCCATCACATGGTTTATGTAATGATTAATCCTTTGTATTAACTACTTTATGTGTCAGAAATATTAAAATGCATATTAACTGTTCCTGGGAAATGGTTCTGCAGTTTCTCCTAAAAGTATACTACCTACTTTGAATAAGTTACATGAAAACTGTGGCACATTTGGGAAGAAAGCAGCTTAGTAGGAGAAAAATGAGATTTGCAATTATAAGAACTCAATACATGGGTGTCTTAGGCATTTCCAGATTTTAAAAAAGTATAATGACTTTTCTCCCCCAGTGTGATACCAAAATCAATGGAATGGTTTTGGTTTGTTTTCTACTGGAGTGTACCAGTTAGATTTAATCACAGAGGGAAAAATCTTGTTTTGATTTCTCTTATTAATTACTTCTTGGAAAAATGCACTGTAGCATTCTTATTCAGAATTTCAGGAACAAAAACTTTTCACTTTTCAAACTGCAAATGAAGGTGGGGTAAATGTGTGAAGGAGCTAAGATCTAGATATATTAGAGTTTCTATCTCTGAATCCAGGAAGGACTTTGTTTATAGTGGTGGAAATCAAGCAAGGAGCTATTGGTTGGTCCACACAATGCCTAGGTGTTGGCTGTCATGCTCCATTCAGACCCACAATCCCAATGAAACCTGTCACTTTCAAGAGTGCAAATAATAGGATGGGGAAAGAGTGTTAGAGTAGGACGTTTTCTAACAAGAGCCCAGTGGATTCCTACCTTTCATCTAATAAATTTCAATGGTTTAAGAGAGCAGATCCATAGGTGCCACACAGCGAAAGGACCTGTGTAAAAATCACAGTGAGACTCTGGAGTAAGAGATGGAATGTGATGGCCCGAGGCCCTGCCCTCCAACCTTGAGTCCACAACATACGACCTCTTTAAAAAACTCCCTCCAGAAGCCCTACAGTTTCCTCTCTGGTTTGCGTCTTACTGCTGAAGAGTCTGTTTGTAGAGATGGATATCTGACTAAGCTAGCTTTCCTTTTTTATGCTCTTTCCCTCAAGAACCAAGGGTTTTTCACATTCCAAAATAAAATGCAAACTGAGAGCATTTTGTATTTTTGCATTTCGATTCCCTGTTTTGTCAGTGAGTAATTATAGCAAATAAAATATTGCAGCTGAATGTAAATTGTTAGGCAACCAGATCACAGCAGGATATTTTTCTTCCACAAGTTTTACATCATAGAGTGTTAAATATTAAAATATTGCAAGTCAAGTAAACAGAGAGGGTTCTTTGCTCAAAACATTAATTTTAAACAAACATTTCACTGTTATTCAGATCGGATGCTAGGAAACAAATGACATTTTCTTTCAAATAAGGTGAATAGATCATATGAAAGGAAAGCAGACAAGGGAATCATACAGAAGGAAGGGCATTTATGACACGAGAGATGAATTTCAGCCAGAAGAACAGGAGAGAATTCACATGTAGGAGAGAAAGCAAAAGAAAGAGAAATTGGCAAAACAACATGGAAAAGAGCAAGAAATGAGAAAGACTGACTTACTGCTAGAAGGGGAAAAAATGAAGATACGTCTCATGTCAGAGTACAGAGACCTGACTCAAAATAAGGCAGCTGGGGAAGAAATGAAATTCTTTCTAACATCATGAATTTCTGTTTCCTTAGGTTATTACCAGAAAGGTAGAAAGGAGATGAATTTTCAGACCTCCAAAAGATCACCAATCAATAAAATACCAATCAATAAGCATTGATTGAGTACCTAATGTGTGCTCAACAACCAAGTACAAAATTAGACATGGCCTTCTTCTGAGGTACCTTACTATGGAGTTGAGATGAGGAGATGCTGAAACAATGAATGAGAGTGGAAATGTATTCTATGCTGTGGAGTGAAGAAAACACACAGCTCAGGATTCAATGATAATGACAATGAGGGTGGTTGAGAGTAACTGTCGTAACACTCTTATTTTCTAAGCACCTCCTACATTCCAAGTACTGTGCTGGATGCTTAATATTTTCATTTCCAACATTTAAAACAATCCATTAAGAATTATCTCCTCTAGTGAAGAAAATAAAGCTTCAAAACTTAAGTTGCTTGTATTACACAATGAGTAAATGGTAGGGCCTGAATTTAACCCCAGGTCTCCCAACCCAAAGATCACGATCTTTCTTCTACTGAAGTGCTGGATTTATCCTAAGAAGGCATTCTTCTGTTAATCCTTACACCAGAATGCCAGCTAATTAAAACAGAAACAAAAACAAACAGAAACGCTGTTTGAGAAATGTTCTTTGTAAGGGAGATGACCTAACATGAATTTTTGGATGAAATTATAATGGATATGGAGGAGTTTTGTTTTTTTGGTTTGAGAAAGAATCTTCAGGAAAACATATAGAATTTGCAGGAGAGTCATGTTCATTAAACCATCTCAGAGTTAAAGACTGGAGGGAATAGATGTTAATAGCCATAAAGGCCTTGCAGAAAAAGGCAAACCTTCTTTTCCAGTAGGAGAGAAGAAGTGAAAAGGGATGGAGGAGGAGAAGAGTCAACTGAGGAGCAAGAAATGTTCCACAATGAGACCGCTTCACAATATCTCCCAGTTCACAACTAAATTAAAATAATGCCTGGGGAGAAGACTGTTACAGATACATGCAAACAAATTGCACATCCTGTTAAGTAGGGCAAAACAGACACTTGGACAGAGAAACCAGAGGAAGACAAAATTCACAGAGAAGGTGGAGAGAACTTTAACTTCTCATGAACTGTGGAATTGGTAGTTTGAGTACATTATAGTTAGATCTCCATTGAGCAACAAGGTCCCGACTGACATCTGGTCTACAAGATCAACTTTCTGGCAATACGGTAAATTTTTTGACAGTTACTAAATGAGACTGAATATAAGCAAAATAAAAATCATCTTGTGTTTCAAGAAACTGATATACTCCAGATACATCACCATAGCATATGGAGATTTCTTTAACTAGAAAAAATAGTCCATCCAAATTCACATTGGTTGAGGAAGCCAGAACACTGACTTATCCATGTTTACCACAGCTCATCTGCCTTCCCTCCCTTAATAAAAGCAGAGGCCCAGAGTGACTGCCAAACAAAATCTACCTAAAAAACATGCCATTCAATTTTTTTAGAAGGCCATTGAAAGATAAGCAAATTAAATTAAAAGAAAGGAATGAAGAGATTTTCCTTCTGTCTGGTTGTTGAGAGAGAACATTTCTTGCATATCCAGCATTTGGCAATCTCTTAGCAAAATGGCAAATTCACAAACCCTTTAACCCAGCAAATGCATTGCTAAGAATTTGCCCTACAGATATACTTCCAAATAGTATGCCAGAATTTGTGCAAGAATGTCCTTTGTAGTATTGCCCATAAAAACAAACAAAAAAATGGAGAAGAAAACCCATATACCATCCATTGGGTTAAACGCGTTTTGATTTATCAATACAAAACAATATGTACAGCTATTAAGAATAATGAGGTAGGTCTGCTCTTCAAGATATACTATGCTTTGAAACAAGCTAAGTGTGAAGAATGTATATAATATGCCATTTAAGTAAAGATTTTAAAGGCTCCGTGTCGTTTTGTTTAGATGTCAACATGTGCATAATTTCTTTTTCTGAAAAGCTACAGAAGAAACTTCACAATGGTAATATTTGGAGGACAAGAGGCCAGCATGTCAGAGAAGAGAAGGAAAGGAAAGTTTTCATTTTCCTCTTATACCTTTCCTTCCTGCCTGAAGTTATAGGTATGGCTAATTTGATTTAAATCAATAATATTAATGAAACATAAAAGTAAAATAATTACCTAGTAATAATAAAACTATGTTGTTTATAACTCTTATTTGATGTTTGGATTCTCAGAATTTACTTCACTGAACTCCGAAATGGGTGGTATTTTTGAAATTTTTAGCTGCAATGAAAGAACACAGTATAACTGATGCACCCCACCCCCAACCAAACCACCCTCATACCTTGTCCACCACTGCCATCTCTATCTTGCATTTGAAAATATGCAGAGAAGACTCTGTTTCCATGCTACAGACAGTACTTCTAGAATTTTGACCGCATAGTAAACAGTCATTGTATCATCCACACCCTGAATGATGAGGGACAGGGACAGACAGAACCTACCTACCATGTGAGCAGCTCTAGAGCTGTCATAGCTATAGCTGACTCTAGCTCACAAAGCAGACATGAGGAAAAGCAAAGTTTGCATGTGCACATACACACAACACAAGCACACTGAGAATGAAGGAGAACAATGTGAGACTATACTGGTCAAAGAGTATTTAGGATCTGCCAAATAATCCAGTTTTGTTTGTATTTTCATTTACATCCCTTTCACCTTAACCATTTTCACAGTTATCAACTCTCTAATACACTGACACATGCTGTGTTAGGCACTTCGCAAGTATTATCTCATTTACTTCTCATTTAAAATGCCATTGGTTAATATCATAATCTTCCCATTGCATATGAAGAAATTGACACTTAAAGATATAACACTTACCCTACTCAAAGTCACACATCTACATCTAGCAAGTGGGAGGTGGCATTCAAACATAAACACAGCTGGCCTCAAAGGCACTATGACTCACTGTATTCATTCCTGATTCAAGTCTCATGCCTTGCCCTGAGACTGTTCTTTAGGACATAAATTGGGCAAAGAGCAATCAACTCACAAAAAGAGAAGACCTTCCAGACCAAAACTAGGAAGTTTGGAAAAATGAGAATCATGAAAATATGCGTATTACACATACAGCCAGGTTGAAGAAGACAGAAAGCATTAGAATGTGGAGGAACCTTATGAGCTAGAATGCTTAGTACTTAAAGAAATGTCTTTGGGATCAGCCATGCTCCTGGGATGAATCCTGACCTGGCCATGATCTAACTGTCACCTTAACCATGTCACCGAGAGGCTTAACCTGCACTTACTTCTTTCATCTGTAAAATGGATGGCATAATAGTGCCTGCTTCACAGAGGCATGGTGAGGGTTGAATAAGATCATGCACATTAAGTACCTAGGACCCAGTAACTCTCTGTAATTATGCTGTGTTTGAGATCATAAAGCTCTTAATCATTATAAAAGTACCTGAGAAATTCTGGAATGCTATAACAGGAAAACTTCTGAAAATATAGACTACCCCTAGGCAAGCCCTTTGTTTTACACAGCAAGAAAGTGAGACCTAATCAGTTAGAGGCAAGATGCTTCTCAAGTCAGTCTATTGAGTTTTTATTTTGCACTGAATTACACATCTACAGAGCTTCCTGTAGCAGGAAACTCTGCTCAGTTTGCCCATTGCTCATTCCTAACACCTTTTTCTCCTGCCTGTTCCCATCCCATGGCCAACTACTCATTCTCTCAGACCATCTTGAAGCCAGTGAAAATCTGCTGGGGAATACTCGGGGGAAGCATATGATTTTCCAGTAGCAACACTGCTGCTGCCACCTCTCTCCCTTTCTTCCTACCGTGAATTTGATCATGGTTCCAGGAAATAGGGTGGCCATCTTGCAAATAGGCAGATTAAAACAATCACTAAGACACTGCCTACCTCCAGGAGGTCTTCTTGTTACCAAAGAAAATACACCCCTATTTTTTTAAGCAACTGTTAAAGGCAGGGTTTCTGTTACATGCAGCTGAACTCATTCCCAGAAAATGATAGAAGTCCTTTTTCCATGGACATTGACACAGTCTAGGATGGGATGGTGGGGATAGTACAGGGTACTCACCAGCTGTTGGAGGGAAATCCCCAGGTTGTGAGAGCTCTTTTATTTAAAAAAAAATTAAAATGTAAGTCAAACTCAGGCTTAGTTTTGAAGTTCATTTCTCACCTTGTTCTCATTTTTATCTTGATACTCCGAATGAATTTCCCAACGATATCTAAGAGCTTCCCATTCCCAGGCTGGTCCAGTGATTTTTAGTGAAATTAGGTTTTATTGAAAGTGAGTTGATTTTTACTTATTAATGTTCTGCTAATTAGAGCACTTTGTCAATATCTCCATGCATGCATTATATTCTCATGTCCACAGCATGTGTTTAGAAATATGTGGATAACAAGATGGAGAGTTAGACTGTTCTGGCCCTAATGACCTCCCGCCCTCTCAAAACGCCAACATAACTTCTGGTCACGTAATCATGGGCCACCTTGTACTGTTCACTGACTATTTGTTATAGGTTGATTTTAATCCCTGACAAATTTTTTTTTTTTTTTTTTTTTTTTTTTTTTTTTTTTTTTTTTTTGAGATGGAGTCTTGCTCTGTCACCCAGGCTGGAGTGCAGAGGCACGATCTCGGCTCACTGCAAGCTCCGCCTCGCGGGTTCACGCCATTCTCCTGCCTCAGCCTCCCGAGTAGCTGGAACAACAGGCACCCACCACCATGCCCGGCTAATTTTTTATATTTTTAGTAGAGACGGGGTTTCACCGTGGTCTCGATCTCCTGACCTTGTGATCCGCCCACCTCGGCCTCCCAAAGTGCTGGGATTACAGGCGTGAGCCACTGCGCCTGACAGACAAAATTTTTAAACCTGTGAATACTGACACAGCGCTTCATGTTTTGCTAGTCACTCTCAGTGCCTATCACAGAGGTAGGCAAATCAAAAATTCTCATGAAGTACTAGAAAATAGATGCACCTGTCCCCCAAATGCACAGCATAAGAAGATACCCAGGGACTAAAAGCTCCCAACTCCAAAATAAACCTATTCATGAACATGAGTCTCTATTCCTTTGCTCAGGGAATTCAGTGCTAAAGTAGATAGCAAATATATTTATATTAGGGGAAATATCTAAAAAATGGCACTTATAGATACATTTGCTAAATAGATATGGAAGTCTATCTGAAGACCTAGCACTATGCCAGCCATACAACAATCTCTTCACAAATATGTATTGAATGAATGAATGAATGAATGAATGAATGAATAAGCACACATACACAGCAGAAAAACAGACTATGAATGAATATATATCCTTTCCCCTAAAGAAAGATACTCTAAAACAAATGGGCAGTCAAAACTACAATCTCTCATTTAACTGGGAAAAGTAAAGAACCCTCTATTTCATCTTTGATTTCCTCCTTACATGATGTACAATGCAAAGGGCTTGCTAGTCATATTTGTCAAGAGAGCCCACAGGTACTATCTGGCTCATCACAGCTTAACTTATCAATTGCCATTGTTGTTTGGTGGATATTGATCTGGGAAGACCTTGTATCTTGCGAAAGTCACTTCTACAGCAACTCATCACTTTTTCTTTTTAGTCGACATGAAGGCTCAAGTGTTGTGGTATACTGGGAATTTCCACGCGACAGCCCCATTCCATCATTAAATACCCAGTGAGAGCTTGTTAACTAGATGAATGTCCCAATTAAACCAGCACGTTCTTGTCGCTGCCTAACAGTGATGGTGGGTTCAGACTAACAGTTTGAAGGGCAATAACTAAAATGGTTTGAGGAGCCTCAAGTGTAGTTTCAATGGTTTCACACTTATCCATTCATTTGTTCATTCAACAAATCACTCAGGGGCCCAGCATGGTGGCTCACACCTGTAATCCCAGCACTTTGGGAGGCCAAGGTGGGTGGATCATATGAGGCCAGGAGTTTGAGACCAGCCTGGTCAACGTGGTGAAACCCCGTCTCTACTAAAAAAACAAAAATTAGCCAAGTGTGATGGCACACACCTGTAACCCCAGCTACTCTGGAGGCTGAGGCAGGAGAATTCTTTGAACCAGGAGGCAGAGGTTGCAGTGAGCTGAGATCGCACCACTGCACTCCAGCCTGGGCAACAGAGCGAGACTCTGCCTCAAAAAAAACAAAACAAAACAAAACAAAAAGCATTTTTTTGGCAGGTCCCAATGTCTATTTCCAAGCTGAAAATGTTTGCTTTCCCAAAGGGGCATAAAACTGTGATTTTTCTTAACAGCACAGTTTAAGTGGTCTTGACTCTGCATCTTAAGTTCCCAGGGTTAAGCTGGAGATCTTGAGAACAAGAAAAGAGTAAAAATAGCAACAGTGCAAAACTCCAGACATCATGTTGGCTCCATACGGCTGTGTGGGTTGTGCACTGTGCAAGTTCAGTGTGTTCCATTACTAGGACCATGATACAAATGGCAGGGAAGTGGTAGAAACCCCACCCAAGGGGTATCCTAGGCCCATAGTGCTCCCTAGTACAAGGGCCACAAACTACTAAATGTCCAAAATCACAAGTAAAAACTGTTCATTTTGGTAGAGGAAATACTTGATTTCATACACATCTAAATTTCACAATTAAAGTCTCAAATAAAAAGCTGCCAAGTAAAAATGCTCAATGAAACATAATTTTTTCCTCTACCTGATTTTTAAGTAAAACAGGCAAAGAAGAAACAAGGCAATGATTGAATAGAAATGCTATTCTTGTTTTAAAAAAAATTAGACGGTCCTAAGAATCTATGCTAAATGATTACATTAATATGCATAAAATACATAAAACATATGTACAAGGATGTTTATTGTAAGACTGTTTCTCTATTACTAAAATACAGAAGTGGTTATATAAATTATGGTACTTCCATACATGAAATGCTATTAAGTCAATAAAAAGAATGAGTAAACTTGTAATTGCTATCCTAAGGACAAAGCTCCAAAACATACTCTGAAAGACAAAAAGGTAATCATAGAAAAATATAATATGATCCTGTTTATAATCAAATCTAGATAATGTACATAAAGGGATATTAAGTCATGAAACAGTGCTTGGAAAGATACACACCAGTCATCTGACAGTAATAACCTATGAAGATGAACGAGGAAGTAGAGAAATTTCATATTTTATATATTGTAATTTGAACTACTTTTTTTTAAATAATGAAAAGTGTTTGTGTATTAAGTGTATTATAAAAAATATCCAAATAGTTCAAAATGACAGTAAATTACAGGTTATGTATAGTTTAATCCCAACCTGTTACAATTCATGACAAAACAAATGGTTTAAAGTTAAAATTTCTAATGTAACCTATGTCAATTACACATTCTGACAACATATATTCATTGAGCACATACATTACATAAAACACTGCTCCAGGGGCTGCAGGTCCAGCAAAGAGACAGGTAAGGCCCCTGCTTGTATAGCGCTTTTGTCCAAGACAGTAAAAGAGACTCATATATTTTAAAGAGATTTTCAGTTAACCATCATTTTCATAGTAAATAATTCAACTAACTATGACATTTTGGGCACTGTGGCTGAGAGGTTTGCTGTGACTCTAGTAAAGTTTCTTCTTGGAAAGACATTCTGTGCCATAAAGAGCATTCCCTGCCTATCAAATATTCATCCTTCTCAGCCATCAATCAACTGAAGTTCCCTCAAACAGAATCCATAAAACAGTCATACTTTCCATCCTTAGAGGGGTTTACACCTTTCCAAGCACTTTCACACATCTACGGTGTCCTAAGAGATGGGTGACTAAGATGCAGGAGCAAAATAATATAAATTTACCATATAAAAACTTTCTTCTGTCTAGCACACTTTTCTCCTCGCTCTTTACTCGCTCAAGTTTTGCTGGTCCTTCAGTTTGCAACTTAGAAGTCACCTCTTCCAGGTGGCATTCCAGGCTGGTATAGGGATCCCCCCTACATGCTTTTATTGCTCCCTATTGCCTCCATTCCCTCACAAGGTGTGGACCATGCTGCTTTGCAATGACCAACTTGGTGGCCACATCCAAGTCACAGGGCTCAGGATCACCTGGAGTGCCCTGGGTCCAAACTCACCCTCAAGAACTGACTCACCAGGTAGGTGAGTATCTGACAGTCATATTTACAGAAGCTCTCCAGGTGTTCTGAAGCAGTTAATCCCAAGATATGATGATGGAGGTGTGGACCATGTCTGTCTCTACATCACCATCATTGAAGCCACGGCTTCTGACAGTGCCTGATATATTGCTGGTGCCCAATAAGGAGCTGCTCCTTTATCTACTGGTTCTTTCAAAAAATATTTACTGAGCACCTCAGCATGCCAGACTTCTGGTGAATGACAAAATGAACCAATCATGCATCATGACGATGATACAGCTTTCATTAATAAGACTTTTTGAGTTATCTGATACCTGAAGCAACTACAGGAACCCAATCCACACCTGTCCCTCTGTCCCCTGCTGGGTAGATTAGGGAAGACAAACAAAGATTTGGGAGCTTTTGTCACATTCTTTAGGTGCTTCCGGGATGCCACCAGTGGGTTCCAACTGCTCAGCTATGTTTAGAGGTCACAGGCAAACAGAGTGGGCCCATTGCAGACTGCGAGGCAGGGTGCCTCTGTTCAATATAAGGATATAGTCCATGAGACAGAAGGTTATTACAATGAGGTTGCCTGGGTTTTCCTCCCCAGTTTTATTCTGTACGCCTTTTAGGTAAATTCCTTAATATCTTTCTTCAAAATAGTTGGATGGCATTTGTCTTACCTTTAAGGGATTCGGCTAAAATCCACTTGAGTGCTGGCGCCTAGGCAGGGAACAGGCAGCAATTCCTACAGGTCCATCTACCTGATGACATGAAGACTAGTTTATGGTTAACAAACTGTTTTTCACTCTCTTTAGAAGAGAAATCTCTGTCAAAGGTCACATAAACTTTACCGTAGTCAGCAAAGCCCCTTCTTATAGGATCCTCCCTCTATATTTCCACCCTCATCTAGCACTGTCTTCCTTGCTTGCCATGCCCTAGTCCTGCTGTATCAATAGAGTAGAGCCACCAGCCACATGCGGCTCCTGAGCACCTGAATTGTGGCTAGCCCAAACTGAGATGTACCAGAAGTGTAAAATACAACCCAGATTTCAAACACTTAGTACAAGGGAAACAGAAGGTGAAAGAATCCTATTCATAATTTTCTACACAGCTTATATGTTGAAATCATACTATTTTAGATATATCGAGTTTTAACAACATATTATTAATTTCTTTTACTTTTTATGGTGACTACCGGAAAAACTAAAATTACACAAGTGGCTTGCATCATATTTCTACCGGGCACTGCAACCGTGTCTGTATTGGCCTCTTGATTTCTGTACTATAACAAGCATTTCCCCCACTTCTGAGGCTGTGTGTTTTTTTGTCTTCACATGAATGACTCTCTTTCCATGTCTGGCATGCCTGACTGCTGTTCACCCTTCTAAATGCAGCTTGTATAGCATCTCTGGAATAAGACTTGTTGAATGTCTATCTGTTTATGACCTGCAGCAAAGTTAGCCAAAATGCTCAAAAGGGGGACAGAATTGTCTGCCCAGACTTAAGGCTGGGGCTCCCCGAAGCTGACTTTCCAGTGATAATAAAATGTCCCCACCCAAATCTCATCTTGAATTGTAGCTCCCATAATTCCCGTATGTTATGAGATGGACCCGGTGAGAGGTAATTGACCCATGGGGGCAGTTCTTTCCCATGCTGTTCTCATGATAGTGAATAAGTCTAATGAGATCTGATGGTTTTATAAAGCGGAGTTCCCCTCTACACAAGCCCTCTTGCCTGCCACCATGTAAGACGTTCCTTTGCTTCTCTTTTGCCTTCCACCATGATTATGAGGCTTCCTCAGCCACGTGGAACTGTGAGTCCGTTAAACCTCTTCCCTTTATGATTTACCAAGTCTCAGGTTTGTCTTTACTAACAGAGTGAGAACAGACTAATACAGGTAATAAAGACTTGAAGGACATGAGGTAGGAAGGAAAGACAAAGGTAGAGGAGGAGAAACCAAGAGTGTTACCAAGCCTTAGCCTGATGACAACAGGCAGTTGCTTGAAGAGAGACAAACACTCTTGCTTTAAGAGGAATAAATCAAAGTGGCTTCGGATACATTAACCCTAGCTTGTCATTTGAGAAGACAGCCCTTTATATTTAGAATGGCTAGGAAAGACTCCTTCTAGATGATTTGGTGCTAATGTTAAGAACATCACGCAAGGTGTCCAGTTCGATGGCTGTCAACACCTTCTCTAAACCTTGTGGCCCATACCATATCAACAACAAAATAAAGAAACCAACCAAGTCAACAACAACAAAACATCGTCAACAACAACAAAACATCACCAACAACAATAAAAATTAGAATATTTAAGAGCCTGTGCATGCTTACTTATGTGCTGGGCACTGTTTTACACATTCCATATATTAACTTAGTCTTTCCAATTAAGTCTTCAAGGTAGCCACCGTTATTGTTCCCATTCTATAGATGGAGACTGAAACCTAAAAAAGTCAAGGACTTGCCCAGCATCACTGAGCTGGTAAGTGGACGATCAAAGATTTAAACATAGGCAGTGTGGATCCCAAGCCTGTGCTCTTAACCCTTGCAGCATATACCACTCTACATCTTCTGTACTATTCTCTATTGACAGTATCTATGAAGCTAGCGCTTCATGGTATCAGGATATGATACTTTCTTAATTATTCATTATTTTGTCTATGTATGCCTTCTTTTCCCAGCTACAGCATTCACTGTTTGAAGGGAGAGATTCAACCATCTCCTTCTCTGGACCCCACACCCAACTTATCCTGTTATAGGCTCATGGTCAACAGATGACTGCACTGTGTTACTAAATGCCAGGGAATACACAGAAGTTGTGACTGCTTACATATTCATGGAAGAAAACCCCAACTCCTATCATCCAAGTTTGAAACTAGGTCTTCTTTCCTATTGGGGGAAATTTCTGCAGGTGTGAGTAATTAGAAAATTAAACATTAATTAACAATTCAAGTGACTGATTGTGTTAGCAAGTTGCTTGCTAACCATACAGGTAAATATTGTGCCCCCATATGATGTTTAAAAATAAGGTCCCTTGAGCATATTAAGTAGTAGAGATGGTTGACTCAAGATTCAAGAGTTTCCTGACCCCTTTAATATGTCACATTTTAAGTCTGTATATAACAAAACTATTGGGAAAGGGGATTGCCTTACTCACTCACCTTGCCTTATCATCTTACAAAATATCTTATATTAAAAGAGAGAAAAGGATGACAGCTCTGTATCTATCACCTATTACTCATTATCCTGGGACAACAAACAGCCCCAGAATCTTTCTTTAATGAATATAGGCTCTCATAGTACATGCTTATGTTCGTCTCACGTTTGCTCTCTCTCATTTCAAAACCCTATTTCTCTTCTGCCCTTTATGTCTTCAAAAGAGACGCTGATATTAATTACCTTGCTTCTCTAACCCCTCATCGTTTTCAGCCCCAAACAATCAGCTTCCTGCTTTTAATCTTCTACCAAATCTATTTTCTCATGATCTACCGAAGTCACCCTACTAAGTAAGTGTTTCTGGAAAGGTATTTTCAGTGCCCATTTCCCTTGACCAACCTGTGGCCCTTGACTCACTGGAAAAAATCACTCCACTCCTGCCCTTTGTAATATTATTCTCAGCTGGAATTCTAGCCTCTGTCCTGCAACCTCCAGCTTGATTTTACAATATAAACACTGCTACTTCCTAACAAGTTCACCAGATATACGAAATAACCCTGTATTTCCCACTGAAGTAAATTAGATTGTTGTTCAGTAAATATTCACTCTCTCTTTACTTCTTATTCCTGAGAGGAGTATACTGTCACATTCCTTTGATATCAGACTTGATTTGGCTTAAGACATGTGAATGGAGCAGGGGCTTAAAATGTCATGTGCATTCCTGTCTTTCACTATGAGAAGCAGATGTCTTAGTTTTTTGCTGGGTCTTGGAGGGTGACAGACACATGGACTTAACTCACACCCTATAGTCAAAACAAGCCAAGCTGGCCCACAGACACAAGAATCAGAGTAAATGACTCTTATTTCAATCCACCAAGTACTGGGGACAGTTTGGTACACATGAGTTTTATGAAACAGTTAACTGATGCACCCATACAAATGTTAAACCTTTGTTCACTGGAACAAAGGTTGGAAGTTTTCTCCAACCTTTGTTGGATGGAAATTTTCTCTTGTTCCTCTACTTCTATGGTATTACCTCTCCCATGCCACTTCTCTAACTTCATGTCCTGTATTCTCTCCCTTATTATGTTTTAAACTCCTTTGAAGAGCAAAGCATCAAAAGTTCTTATCCCTAGACAGACACAAATTAAAATTTGCTTATTCATTCATTCATTCATTCATTCAGCAAATGTGTGGATTTTAGAAATGAGTTTCTGTCTCAAAGGTATTTAATACAACACCTGGCTCAGCTTCATGGACTAGAGACACATTATCACTGAGGTCACGTTGTTACTGTTTTTGCTACTCCTGCTAACTGTTCCAAAGGGGAAAAAAAAACAACATGCACTTTAAAAGCATGATGTTCTTGTTGGCAGAAATTACAATAGTTTCTTCTCTTGGTGTTTACTCCCCCAACACTTTCCTCAGCTCTTTATTTCTGATATTCAATTACCCTTTTTCTGCCTGGCTTTTCTCACTTTCCCAGAAGACTTACCCTGGGAAACTTTACTGTTTTCACTGGTGTACATTTGCACTAGTTGGTTTAATTACCAAGTGAATCTACAGCCTCTCAGAACATTTGACACGTCTCCCTTTCACTGGATCCAAGACATGAAGCAATGAAAACGAATGGGTGAATGTTACAGCAAACTCAACCAAAATTTATTTTGCCTGGATTCAAGGATTAGGCTAACATGCTAGCCAGTTTCTGCCCCCCTAAAATGTCACCCTCTGGAATGACAAAAACCTTAATAAGATTTGGAACCAAAGTTCCTATGACCAGAAACTGCTCAACATATATGCGTCACACACAGGAAATAAAGGCACATTTTAAACTAGAGCTGCTGGGTCATCTTTAAAATAGCAGACTGCCTGTCAGGAGAACCAATGGAATAATCAATCACTCAATTTAAAGTGGGGAGCTCCTTTAAAATGCTAGGGTGATGGGGTATGGGCACAAAGTGAATAGCTGTGACAGTACAGTTCCTCAGCCAAGATCCACGAATGTAAGCACCAGTGGGAAGAGCACTAGACCAAGAGGCTCAAAAATATACTGTGACCTTCAACTAGTCACTTAACAAGTGCTCATTGTATCATTTAAAAAATAATACAATAGAACTCCATGAATCCAATTAAATTTAATTCCATATTATTCGAGTGTTTGTTTAAAATGATATTTCTCAAAGCAATGGTCAAATGAGTTTGGAAATCAGTAGATTAAAGAAGGTTAAGCAGGTTTCTGTTCCATGCAACTTCTCAGTAACTTTAATAGTCTACTGTGCACCGTGAAGCTCTCAGACCTGGTGGATGTGGTATGGAACATTCCCCAGACTAATAGGAATCAAAGATCCTGTTTGTTTACCATGGACAGCCTTGTAGAACTCCTATTCTCTATAATACATGGCCATCAATTATAGAAGACACAGAGATACTAAAGAGAATAGTTTTCTTGGGTCCTGGTCCTGAGGCCTGGCATTCTCATGAAGCTGAGTTTATGCCCTCCCCTGTGATTTATGCCATACCTCTGAATCCTTATAATGATGTCCCTTTTTGATCTTAAGATGGCTTTAACTGGTAACTATCATTTGTAAGCAAAAGTACCTTATTAAACAAGAAAAACAGCTACGTGTGAGTTCTGAGTAAATATTGCTAATTTATGTCTATCTGCAATTGTTACTTGGGCTGAAACAAAAGTTCCAGGTAAGTATGATAGTCATTTTGCCAGAGGAGCCTCAATAATCCCTGAGCTGAAATACTTTCATACATCAAGACGTAATCATCTAATATTAGGAAAGCCATTAAGAAATACAATTACTACTGGAAATGAAGACCTTTTACAGGAGAACAGACATGATGGTTTTCCTTAAAAGCTCTTCCCTTTTCCACATCCACTTTCTTCTACTTTAAAATGAAAGTGACTTCATTTTCAAGTGACCTTTTATAAAGTCCAAACATCAAGTGTCGTAAATATTCTAAGTATTCAGAATGAGGTCCAGTACTGTAATATTAAGTTGGATATGCCAGAAACTCAGAAAAGCCTATTTCTCTTTAAATAGCCAACTTATAAAATTATTCATATTGTCTTCCTGGATTCCCATTATGTTCCTCGTGCAAGAAAGTGAAAGTGTTTTATACAAGCCACACTGTGGGGTAATATGGCCAAACTAAGAGCTTTCAGAAGGATTCTTCTCTTATTCTCTACTTCTGCTTCTGCTGCTGCTGCTTTTTTTAAACAAATGAGATCAGAGGCATACTGTGATTAGCAATGCATGTTTATGTAGTGAGACACCAGATTAGAAATGATTATTATCATGTCACCTAACAGAGTGATAATAATGGTACTCTGAGATGGTACAGCTCAGCTGTTGAGGATTCCTACTACAATAATTATTTTAAAATTAATTTTGAAGAGAAAAAGGAAAGAAAGAAAGATGATTGAAACCATTAAAGCAATCCTGATAAATAAGAAAAAAAAACCCAAACACTATGTTTTATTCCTAAGGCAAGCACAAAAAATAAAATAATCACCAAAGTGAGACACGACTGACTGAAAGGTAAAAGGAACATTCATTTTCCCCATCCAAGGAAAACAATAACTGAAAACAATTTAAGGCAAAAAGTTAAGCTTCTATTCTGAGCAAAGGAGAGTTGGACTGTATTTATGTGCTAATAATCTATTTATAAGAAATAACTGATTAAATAAGATAGATAAAACTTAGTAGACAGAAATATATTTTTTTCATAGCAAACAAAGCAATCAAAAGAGAAGTGTTGCTGAAAATATTGACAATTAAAAATCATTCAAGGACTCTGAAGTATATTTCAGGCAGAAAGAGAGCAGCCTAAGGAGGACTTATTACAGGATTGAAAGCATCACCGTGAATTCATAATTTTTAATATATAAACTGAGAGATATGGAAATATATATATAGTATGTGTATAAGTACACATGCATATAAATACACACGCATGTATTGCCTACCTCTACTCACAGAGAGGCTGAAGCAATGATACCCCACTATAAATTAGCATACCTGATGTCCAGATCTTGGTTTCTAAATACCATTCTCCAAAAAATAAAAATAAAAAAGGAACCAGACCTCCTTGGAGAAGTGGTTGGCTCCATTAATGGGACAGGACAGGAACAAGATGAGATTAGAATATCCTGTGGTGCCACAAAGTTACAAATGGCTAAAAAAAAACAAAGAAAAACCAAAATTGTGGGGACAGGTCAAAAGAACACATGAACCAGAATGAAGGGATTCCCCTGGCTAAATAGGGACATAAAATAAAATAAAAACTGATAATATCCCAGAGACTACAGAATTAAAAAAAATCTACGATTTTACTTCACACACACACACACACACACACACACACACACACACACACACATATATAGAGGGGGGGGGGAGGATACAAAGTAACATGTAGGATGAACAAGTCTAGAGATCTAATATACAATATGATGACTACAGTCAATAAAATTGAATTAGAGTTTTTTGTTAAATAAGTAGATTTTAGCTGCTCTCTTCACAAAAAAAGTAACTCTGAGATAACAGACGTTGATTTGCTTTATGTAGTAACCATCTTATTGTATATATGTATCCCATATCATACTTTAAACCTCAAATACACAAAATAAAATTTATTTTTAAAAAAATGGGAGGTGGGGGAGAAAAGCCCTTCCTTACAGAATTTCAAGTCATAAATAAGGAGTAATTAAATTAGAAAGTTACCATTTAACAATCATCACAAAAGTAACTGTTTCAGGTAAGAATCAGTAGTAGTGAATGCAAAAAAAGAATGGGTAAAAGTATAAGAAAAAACATACTACATTTTCTACAAGTATATTCCTATAAGATACTTATTGATTACAAAAGGAAAAATAGCAATTTTCCAATGGAGAAACCTGGTAGACACCACACCAACCAAGTGATCAAAGTTAATACCAAGAATGGGAGAAAGGAGCATCAGTGTCTCCTGATATAATGCACTAAGAAGGATATAATACTACCTCTGTAGGATTCTGGCCAATATGCAAAATCTGATTCTAACCATGAAGAAATGCCACATCAGACAAACTCAAATTAAGAAACATTCTGAAAAGCAATAGGCTGTGCTTTTCAAAAATGTCAAGGTCATGAAAGACAAAGTCTGGGGAATTGTTTGAGATTAAAGAACACTAAAAGACAGGACAACTAAACACAATGTGTGATCCTGGAATGGATCCTGGACCCAAATAAAAGACAATGGCAGCATTTCCATAAGGTCTGCAGACCAGAAATAGCTTTATATCAAGGTTAATTTCCTGGTTCAGTAATTACACTATGTTTTTCTAAGAAAATGTCTTGTTTAAATACACTAAAGGAGCAAAGAGGCATCATGTAACTTGCTTTCAAATATTTCACTAAAAATTATATATACATTTATACACATATAACATATATGGTACACACACTCATATATAGGTGAGAGAGAGAAAATATAATGGAAGTAAGTAAAGTATTAATATCTGGGGATCTGAGGGAGGAGGGTAGAGGGATTCTTTACATTATGCTTGCAACTTTTTTTTTTTGCAACTCTAAAATTATTTCAGAATTAAAAGTTAAAAAAGAAAAGAGAGGGAGCTTGACTTAATATTGCAGCTGTACCATAAAGTGTTCTTGAACAAGTGACTTGTCTTCATTGAGGCTCGGCTCCCCCTTTGCAAAATAGAGACAACATGACTTCACAGGGTGATCGGGGTGGACAAACAAGATGGTGCTGCAAAGCTCCAACCCAAGAGCTGGCCCCTGAAGCACACAGTAAGTATAGCTTGTTTTTGGTAAATCCAAAATACAACAACCCATTAGAGGGCGTTACTGTCTGAAAGCAGTTTGGGGGCACCCGAGGTGATGTGCAGGCCGCAGAGACAATGCTGTTCTAGGTCAGGAGCAGAAACACAGGCTCCTCACACATGCTTTTAAATGGGGCTTTTTACTTTCTAAAATGTGTTTCTACACAATTGAAAACAACATTACTTTTTCCAGAGTGGGAGGATGAAAGCAATCGTGGGTGGGGGCTTCTTGAGAAGAGGGGTTATTTTTTTTACTTTTAAAAAGGTCTCAGAACAGTTAAAAATAGTTTTTCCTTAAGCAGCCTCCCTCTGCTCCCTGCTCCCACCAGCTGCTCCTTCTCTCAGCCTGCCCTTCTCTTTGTCCCTTCACCATTTTCCCCTCTCTCCTTTTTGCTTCCAGTCACTCATATGCCACCCACTCCTGAGAACCCTACCTTCTCTTATTTTTTTGTTTGGCTTTGTTTTGAAAAAAATATTAATCCCAAATGAACAAAGAAGATACGTGGGAAGGAAATAAATGGTGAGCTCTTCCTTACTTCACCACCTGTCAAGTTTTAAGTTTTTCCTCCAACTCACACTAACCTCCTGCGCAACCATAAACTTCAGTGCTTGCCAAAGCCCAGAAAATTCTAAGTAAAAAGCAGAAAATGAATGCAGGGAAGGGGGTGCATTCTTATTGTTCATCAGATCTGAAAAAAATAATGCCCAGAATGTCAAATGATATTACACTATTAAAAAGGTACAGTAAAGATGTGCTAATGATAGATTTTTTTTCTACTCCAATATGTTGTAAATATTATAAACTATCATTTACTGTCATTACTTTAATGATGTAGAATGTTGAAAACTCAATCTGGGTTAATTTACAAATAAGTAATTTTGAAAGGAGAAAAAAATATCTTTTCTATTTCCGTGTAATGTCCCATTACTTGACAGTCAAAATGTGGATACAGCCAAAAGAAAAATAATGAAGGTCAAGGAGGATCAAAATTTACCTGATAGAGTACCTATCTGTTAGAAATCACTTTCCTGAAATACCTTCTCTGATTTTAGAAAACTGAAAAAACAGAAAATACACTACCTTTGACAATGCTTGCGATTCAGGGTTGTGCTTGTGTATGGGGGTGGGAGAACCTCTGCTAGGATAGGAGAAAGCTGCCAGACACAAGTTCAGATTTAATAGAAATAGCTTTCAAATCAGGAGTCTAGCCATCAACCAGTTTTAGATGGACAGTCCCAGTTTCAAGTAAATAAAATATTTGCATATTAGAGCCTCGTAGCCCTACTTAGCTGCAAGTAAATTTTCTGAGATTTACTCTGCCTTGCTTCATTTCATCCAGGCACTGATTATTTTTTCATTCTTTATTCACCAAACATTTACTAAGCACTTCTTTATACAATAAATTCTGAGCAAGGTACTAAGACATGAAGAATAAAACAGGTCTGGCTGGAGACTGCACGAAATTGCCAGTCTGTCTGAGCCTGTTTGAATTCATAAAGTCCCCGAGAAAGAAGAAATAGGTGAGGATTAGCAACCCTGTAAGAGCATTTACAAAGAAGGGAGTGCAAAAGAAGAAAATAGCACCACAGCTCAGGAGGGCAATGGTATTACTTACCAAGGGTGCAGTTTGTTTGATGACAAATCTCAAAACTGAATGCAGTGATTGTGTTAGATGCAAACACTTGGATGAAATAGATGACTGTTCTTGTGACCTTGCCAGGAAAGAGGAGGAGTGAAAGAGAGGGCTAGAGTTCTAGTCTCCTTTCTGAGTTTTGCATTCATTGGCAACCATGTACCTCTAGACATGGGAGTGCAGGCATCTATCTCTATCAAGGTACATGACATGTAATGAAAGGAAGGGATAGAGACCAGGCAAGAGAAAGCAAAGAGAGAGAAATAGACAGGGAGATGGAATGAGGTAGACAAATCTTAGAGGAATGCAGTGCTTCTCCAAGTTTGGTGCAGGAATGTTCCCATTAGAATCACCTGAGGGGGTTATTTAAAATGCAGATTCCTGGGCTCTGACCCAGGTCTGGTGAGCCTGAATGTCTGTGGCTGGGACTCTAAGATTTGCATTTTATATACGTTTTGGGGGGTGGTTCTGCATATTAAAATTTAAGATCAGACCACTCCCTAAATCCAAGGGTGCTATTTTACTGTTTACTTGACCAACAGTATAAATGGGTGTCTTCAAAGCCTTGTCACCACAACCCCATGCAGCCTGATCCACTTACTTCTCTGTATCACACTCCCTCCTCTCCCACCAAGGAAAACAGAGTGATCCTGAAGTTCCTTAAAACTCAACTCAATCTACTGCTCCTCATTAGTAATAAGGTTCTGTTCAAGGAACTATTGGCTAATCATTCATATCCTGATTGAGATACCAGCATATCCTACCCAATTATTAACTATGGATGGACTCCAACCAGGAAATCCAAAACTATATGCTGCTTACTGAATGACAATAATAAATGTAGGCTCTTATTTAATTATGCTGCGGTTTATTAACTATCCGATAATAAGGAAAACCCCTAGTTTATTATAGATCTGTGGGGTGTGTGAATATGTGTGTGTGTTTTGAGAGATATATACAGGACCCTAATCAGAGAGAGTGCCAGGAATAACAGCCATGCATGCCAGGCATCTTTTCCTGTTTCTTTTTCAGTTACTTGAATCCACCTGTGATAAACTTGCCAAAAGAAAGAGGAAGTACAATAACCACAAACGTTAAGTGATTTTTTTTTTTGTTCTACAAACTCGATGAGTTCACTGCATTGTCTACTTATCTGTTTTTGTAATTTCAACTTTTATTTTTGATTTCGGGGTGCACATGTGGGTTTGTTCCATAGGTATATTGCATGATGCTCATGTTTGGGGTATGATTAATACCATCACCCAGGTAGTGAGCATAGTACCCAATAGCTCTTTTTCAATCCTTGACCCCCTCCTTCCCTCCCACTAGTCCCCAGTGTTTATGGCTGCCATTTTCATGTCCATGTGTACCATGTTTGTCTGTTTAACTCTCACTTATAAGAGAGAACATGTAGTATTTGGTTTTCTGTTCCTGTGTTAATTTGCTTAGGATAATGACCTGCAGCTGCATTCATGGTGCTGCAACAGACATGATTTCATTCTTTTTTTATGGCCATGTAGTATTCCACTGTGTATGTGTACCGTATTTCCTTTATCTAATCCACCATTGATGGGCACCTAAGTTGATTTCATGTCTTTGCTATTGTAAATAGTGCTACAATAAACATACAGGTAGATGTATCAGTTTGGTGGAACAGTTTCTTTTCTTTTGAATATATATCCAGTAATGGAATTACTGGGTTGAACAGTAGCTCTGTTTTAAGTTCACTGAAAAACCTCCCAACTGCTTTCCACAGAGGCTAAACTAATTTACATTCCCACCAACAGTGTATAAGCATCCCCCTTTCTCCACGGTTTCACCAGCATCTGTGTCTTTTTGGCTTTTTATTAATAACTATTCTGAATGGTGTGAAATGGTCTCTCACCGTGGTTTGGATTTGTATTTCTCTGATGATTAGTGAGGTTGAGCATTTTTTCATGTTTGTTTGCTGCTTGTATGTGTTGTTTTGAGAAGTGTCTGTTCATGTATTTTGTCCACTTTGTAATAGGGCTGTTTTTTGCTTGTTGAATTGTTGAAGTTCCATATAGATTCTGGGTATTAGACCTTTGTCAGATGCATAGTTTGCAAATATTTTCTCCCATCCTGTAGGTTGTCTGTTTCTCTGTTGGTAGTTTCTTTTGCTGTGCTCAAGCTCTTCGATTAGGCCCTACTTGTTAAATTGTGTTTATGTTACATTGCTTTTGAAGACTTTGTCATAAATTATTTCCCAAGGCTGATGTCCAGAAAGACATTTCCTAACTTTTCTTCTAGGATTTTTATAGTTTAAGGTCTTACATTTAAATATTTAGTCAATTTTGAGGTAATTTTTGTATATGGTGAAAGGTAGGGGTCCAGTTTCTTTCTTGTGCATATAGTTAGCCAGCTATCCCAGCAATAACAATAGGGTGTCCTTTTTCCATTGCTTAATTTGTTGACTTTGTCAAGATCAGGCAGTTGGAGGTGTGAGGTTTTATTTCTGGGTTTTTTATTCTGTTCCATTGGTCTTTGTCTGTTTTCACGCCAGTACCATGCTGTTTTGGTTAATGTAGCCTTATAGTACAGTTTGAAGTCAGATAACATGATACCTCTGGCTGTCTTCTTTTTGCTTAGGATTGCTTTGGCTACTCGGGCTCCTTTTTGGTTCCATGTGAATAGTCTTTTCTAATTCCGTGAAAAATGACATTGGTAGTTTGATAGGAATACCACTGAAAACCTGTATATTGCTTTGGGCAACATTGCCATATTAATGATACTGATTCTTCCAATCCATGAGCATACTGTGCGGTCTTTGATATTGGGTCCTGACTAGGCCAAGAAGACAGAGATAGACTGGTCCCTCAAACCTTTTCTCTAATGTCTGGAGAGTACATATTTTATGCTTTTCAGTATGTATGGCCTCTATTGCAACAACTCAACTCTGCCATTACAGCATTAAAGCAGTCATATATAATATATAAACAAATGGGTGTGGCTGTGTTCCAGTGAAACTTTATTTACAAAAACAAATAGTGGGCCAAATTTAGCCTGCAGGCTCTTGTTTGCCAACCCCAGCTCAAATCATCCTCAGACAAAATTTAGGGAGCTGCTAATAATAACAAGGCCATGCTCTGCTATAGTGCTATTAAGCTATTGCCTCAGCATCAAATTCACCCTTTGGTATTCTCTTCTGTGATAACTGGCACGTTTATGTATTGACAAGAAAGATGACCACCACATATTAAGTGGGGAAAAAATCACACTTTTTATAGCAATATCACTTTTTTTAACAAAATATGATCCTCTATACGTACATACATAATGTTGTATAAGGATTCATAAGTCTCAGAAAGGATAATACTGAAAGGTTCAGAGGGGTAACCTCTGGAAAATGGAATCAGGAGTAGGAAGAAAAGATTACTCTGATTTTTTGCTTTACATTCTTTTGTAGTCTTTGAATTTATTTAGAGTAAGCAAATATTACCATTGTAAGTTACAACAATAAAAAGGAATAAATCAAGGTGGAGTCTTAACAGTGCTGAAACACTTTTGTTAATCCATTTCCCCAGTTCCAACCTAAGCTTTACAGAGGTGCTATTGTCAAGCAATCACTCATTCGTTCACTCTACACATATAATAGGCATCCACTTTGGGCCAGACCCTACGCTATGTGTGAGGAATTCATGAAGTTTAGGATCTAGGTGGAAAAACATAATTATATAAGCTAAAATTGTAATTAAAACAAATAATGTACATGAAGGAGAGATGGCATCACATTTCTTTATTAATATATTTATTGGGTATTATATCCCATTATTGCTGGAGGATAAAATCTATGCCAGGGAATATAAAAAGATGAGACAGAGAAAATGATACGAGTAAACACGCTGAGGACTTTAGACTCAGCATATAGGTGTTTGGTTCCTACCATATCATCTACATAATTTCCTTAAAACTGCTGTGAATATAAAATCACAACAGCTGTTTTAAAGAGACTGAAATTGAAATTCAATGAAACAAGGCATTTGTAAGTCTTCCTTGGCTTTCTACATTGATAGTGACTTTTTTTTTTCTTTTTCACACTCTTAGAATCAGGGATGGGTTAGATGTTATGATCTTGCTGTTACTTCAGGCATCTTCTGTTATCATTCTCCCTAGAGGCCAAAGGCAGAGACCATGTCTTCTTTTCTATATGTTGGAGGCACTGTCTTTTGAGTTATATGCCAAACACCTTCTCTGGAATTGGTTTGCCACTTCTAGGGACTGGCTCCCTGTCGCCATGTTTGTGTAATATGACAACAGACTTAGGCAAGTGATCCTAGCTGGGCCAGAATTCCTTCCTCACACACTCAAAACAGGAACAAAAGAGAGTGGTCTAGATTTTACAATGTATTAACTCAAGGGATGAAGAATTCCTTATAAACTAGACAGAGACAAAGATCTTCAGAGATAAAAGACGGGTACAGACAAGCAGAGAGAAGATTACCAAGAGCAGATCATTCTGTCCAGGTGCCTCTGATTTTTTGAGGTCTAGGTTCTTCCAAAGGCCCTACTACATCCTTTGCTTGGGTTTTTTTCCATATGACATCATTCTACACTTACATTATATCTTCCCTTTTCACTGAAGCATCTATATATAAATTAAAGCATCACTAACTGATGCATGTGTATATATTCCAAGATGTTTAATATTGCTTTCCTGACAGTAGGGATTTTTATCTGCAGTGCTTCAGAGCCAAAGCAAATTCTAATGTTATTTTTTTCCTCCGGAATGTTCTCCCAGAAAGTTTCTACCAGTTTGCTACAAGTTGAATGCCACTTGTTGTCATTTCAGAACCTCATATACAGTATTCTTTAATAGCCAGAAACACAATTATAGGGGAGGTCAGAAGATACATCTCCAAAGTCTTCTAAGTGTTCTCTCCTGTGCCCTACAGGCCAAAATGGTTTATATATCAAATGACCTTGGACAAGTTGTTTATCTTTTGAGTTTCAGTTGTCTCATTTGTATACAGGCAATTCTGTTGGCTCTACAGTGCTGCTGGCAGGATAAGTGACAAACTCTTTGGAAAGTCCCTCACACACAGTCAGTGTCATTTAAGGTGGCTCCTCCTGTGAGATTTTGCAATTAGGGATATGATCAGTCTTAGTCCATTTTTTGTTTTTGTGAAGAAATACCTGAGGTGGTATAATTTATAAAGAAAAGAGGTTTATTTGGCTCATGATTCTGATGGCTGGAAAGTTCAAGATTGGGTATCTGCATCTGGTGAGGGCCTCAGGCTTCTTCATCATCTCATGGCAGAAGGCAAATGGAAGCCATTGTATGCACAAATCACATGGTGAGAGAGGAAGCAAGAGAGAGAGTAAAAGGGTGGGGGGATGCCAGGCTCTTTTTAACAACCATCTCTTCTGGAAACTAATAGAGTGAGAACTTGCTTAACCCAAAGGACAGGCATCGATCTATTCATGAAGGATCTGCCCTCCTGACCCAAACACCTCCCCCAGGCCCCACCTCCCATCATTGGGGATCAAGTTTCAACATGTGGTTTTGAGAAGACAAACATCCAAACCATAGCATTCCACTCCTGGATTCCCAAAACCCATGTACTTCTCACATGTGAAATACAATTGTTTCATCTCAATAGTCCCAAAAGTCTTAACTCATTTCAAAATCAACTCAAAAGTTTAAAGTCCGAAGTCTCATCTGTGACCCAAGGTAATTTCTTTCCAGCTATGAGCCTATAGGATCAAAAATAAGATGTTTGTTTTCAACATACAATGGTTTCATGGGCACTGGGTAAACAGTCCCATTCCAAAAGGGAGAAATTGGCCAAAAGAAAGAGAAAACAGGCCCTGTGCAAGTCTGAAACTTAGCCGGGCAGACATGATATCTTAAAGCTACAAAATAATCTTCTTTGCCTCCATGCCCTACATCCTAGGTACTGCAAGGGGTGGGCTCCTAATGCCTCAGGCAGCTCTGCCCCTATAACTTCAGTGGGTGCAGCTCAAGTAGCTGCTTTCCTTGGTTGGAGTTGAATGCCTGTGGCTTTTCCAGGTTGAGGTTACACACTGCTGCTGCTGCTGGTGGCTGTATAATTTGGGAGTCCCTTTGGTAGCTCCACTTCCATAGCTCCACTAGGAACCCTGATAGAGATTCTGTGGTGGCTGCACCTCTGTGGAAGGTCTCTGTCTATGCTTTCAGAGATCTATGAGTCATCTCTAAAATCCTCTGAAATCTATGAGTCATCAAGCCTCCACCACCCTTGCATTCTGGGTGCCTGCAGACGTAACGTCATGCAAAAACTGACAAGGCTCATGGCTTGCACCCTCCAGAGAAGGAGCCTGAGCTATATCTGGGGCCATTTGAGCCATGGCTGGAGCCAGAGCAGCTGGGATGCAGGGAGCAACATCCAGAGGCAGCCCAGGGCAGCAATACTTTAGGCCTGTCACCTGAACCATTCTGTCCATCTACACCTCTGGGCCTATGATAGGAGGGGTGGTTGTGAAGATCTTTGAAATGCCTTAAGGGCCTTTTTCCCATTGGCTTGACTACTAGCACCTGGCTCCATTTTAATCATGCTAATCTCTTTAGCAATTTCACTGGACTGGGCAATAGCATTGGATTCCTCTTCTGAAAATGTTTCCTTTCCCACCAAATGGCCAGGCTGCAAATTTTCCAAACTTTTACACTCTGCTTCGCTTTTAATTATAAATTACACCTTTAGATCTTTCCTTTGCTGCTTTAATTCAGCATAACCTGTTAAAAGTAGCCATGCCACTAACTGAGGTCTTTGCAGCCTAGCATTTTCATCCACCAGATACCCCACCCTCATCACTTTTAAGTTCGACCTTCCACAAAGCCCTAGGACATGGACACGATGCAGCCAAGTTATTTGCTACTATGTAACAAGGGTGACAGTTCCCAGTAAGTTTTTCATTTTCATCTGAGACCTTGTCAGCATGGATTTTACAGTCTATATTTCTATCAGCATTTTGGTCACAACCACTTAGCCATTCTCTAAGAAGTTCAACACTTTCCCTTGTCTTTTTTTCTTCTTCTGAGACCTCCAAACTCTTCCGACTGCTGCCCATTACCCCCAACCACTGGGTACTAATTTTCTGTCTTAGTTCATTTTGTATCGCTACAAAGGTGTCACTGAGGCTGTGTAATTTATAAATAAAAGGATTTATGTGGATCACAATTCTAATGGCTAAAAAATTCAAGATTGAATATCTGCATCTGCTGAGGGCCCCTGGCTGCTTACACTCATGGTGGAAGATGAAAGGGAGCTTATGAGCTTATGTATGGAGAGATCACATGACAGAGAGGAAGCAAGATGTCAACAAGGTGCTAGTCTCTTTTCAACAATTAGTTCCCTTGGGAATTAACAGATGGAGAACTCATCCCCCAAAGGCAGGCATTAATCTATTCATGACGGATCTGCCTTCATGATCCGAACACCTCCCACCAGGCCCCACCTCCAATACTGGGGATCAAATTTCAACATGTGCCTTGACAGGGACAAACAAATCAAGCATGATCCTTAGAAACACCACATGGTAGAGTGGAAAGAGTATTTAAATGTTAGTCAGGAGACCTCTATTCTAGTTCCCTGTTCTCACTAACTAGTTGCACGGCCATGCTGCTTACTTCTTTCCAAGAAACCTGTACCTTCATGCATAAAGTGCTATTCCCTATGCCCGAGTATCATCCTACATCATCATGTCATGGAAACCCCAACTCTAATTCATGATTCATCTTGAGTCCTGACTTCTTCAGCAAGGTCTCCTCAGTTTCCACAATCAGAGGAGAACATTCCTTTTTTTGCATAAATAAACACTGTACTTGGATCTCTCTTATGGGAGTTATTAGGCTCAACCCTACTTTATAGATCTAGCACTACTCAATTCCTTCTTATTTACTTTCTAAAGACAATTCATCTTCCAAAGTTATAGAAAAACAAAGTTTAGCATTTGCTGCATATGTCCAACAAACATAATTAATTGGATAAGAAACTTGGCAGGTAATTAGTACTAGGCATACCATTTGCTTTTTTATGCCCAGAACCTAGAAAAGTGCCTGACACATGGTAGGTACTCAATAAATATTTATTAAATGAAAAAATACCCAGACTTGGTTAGGAAAGACTATGTAAGGCAACAATTTCAAGGGTATATGCTTTTAGGCCAATTCAGTTTGCCAAAATCTAGCCCTTGATGTTAAAAGGAAGCTGGGGCTTACAGAAATGGAGGACCCCAACGCTAATGGCAAGGGCAGAAATCATCATTTATGAGACATAGTCTCTTGTTTGGTGGGGAATGTTTGACAGCTAGCTGCATAATTCCACACGGTTCCACAGGAGATGATTTTGGATGTGGAGGGAACACTCCAAGCACACTTCTTATGAAGACCTATAATCAGAGGTCTTAACAAACACAAGTGATTAATATTTGTTGACTTCATGACACATTTATTTTCTTTAGAGCACTTACCACAGCTTACTCTAACTTTATTAAACTTTTTAGTATATTTTTGGGTTTTTTTTGTTGTTGGTGGTATCCTCAATAAACTATGAGTTCTGTGGGGGAAGGAACCATGATTCCCTGTCCATTGTTGTACATCCACTACACAGCACAGAGTAGATGAAGCTCAACAAATGTTGGATGAATAAATATGCATATAGTATGATGGATGGATGGTTGAGTGGATAAATGGACGGAAAGAGGCCAGCTAGTCACCCATACAAGCTTCTGGGTTATGAACCTAAATAATAACACAAGTTCAACAGCAACAAAAATAATCCCATTCCATTATAGGCTGGATGAAAGGCTTACCCACTGTCTTACACCATTAGCGCTGCTCTAACAAAATACCTGACAATGGGTGATTTATAAAGAACAGAAAATTATTTCTCACAGATCTGGGAAATCCAAGATCAAGGTCCTAGCATCTTGTTTCTGATGAGGGTAGTCTTCTGCTTCCAAAATGGTAACTTGTTGGCAGCTCCTTCGGAGGAAACAAGTGATCACCTCCCAATGGCAACATCTCGTAATATTGTTGAATTGGGGATTAAGTTTTAACATGCAATTTGGAGGAGACACAAATATTCAAACCATAGAACCCACTTAGAGATGACAGAATAACGAATATATATGAATTAAAATGAATGGAACAACAACAATAACAACAGCCATCACTTATGTAGTGCTTACTGTGTTCCAGGCATTGATCTAAATGCTTTACATATATGAATTCTTAATTCCTAATACAAAAAAGTGAGTGTTCCTTCTTGATCTGGAGCCAAGACTGCATCTATCAAAATGGGAATCTGATCATCTCTCCCATCTGCCCCCCACCCCACGTACATCAATGGTCTACATGACAATGCTACAATTAATTCCAGAAGTAAACTTAACCTCTCACTAAGTGCCCAACCAAAGAGACTGCATGGTTTCCCAGTATGAAAATGTGAAGGATCAATTCACAATTTGTTTCCTGCAAAACTGTCATTCCTCTCTTCATACCCATCACTGGAGAAATTACTTTTCAGACCATTCTACAGCTTGGGAATACTAAATAAGCCCTAATGAGTTCAAAAGTCGGTAATGACAGTACTAATTCAGTGGCCTGTTTGGTAGAAAGTCAGTCTCCCTTCTTCAAAAGCAAAATAGGATTATCAAGTGAGCTGGGAGCATTTTCTTTACGTGATTGATGGGTAGAAAAAGTAATCACCTTTGAAGTGCCACAACATATAATATATCTCCTGTGTTCTCTTTCTTCTTCTGACACCCACAAGTAATTGAAGGGAAGGGAGCCTCTTAGAATGACCAACGAAGTGAAGGTGACAACCCTTTCTCTGCTATCTACCACTAGAGTGACATGCTGGGGTCTTGAATAGTTGAGAACTGACATGAGTGTCTTTGATGGGCTGCTTTGATGCTTGGTTCAGAGTGTACCTGCCACCAGTCAGGCCACACAGACTTTGGGTGAAACATACATCTAAGGAGACAAGTGTTACTACTTCTTAGAAGCAAAGGGCCTGTGCACCTGTGAAAGAAGATCTGTTGTCTGAGCTCTGGGGTCGGGGTAAGGTCCGCAAGGTGGAAGTGAAGGAAGTCAAGGAGCAAAGCAAGTTGAAGCAGGTAAGAAACACTGAATATGATTTCAAAACAGTTTCTCATCATACTCATCCATAATGACCGATTAACCACAATGTTCAGACTGACAACTAGGAGATCATTAGCCTCTTGACCTCAGCTCACTGATGCAGAAGCAGACAGTCGTCTCCTTGGAAAAGGCACTGCTCTACAGTAGCTTACTTTGTAAGGGGATTTTTGCAACTACAAGTAATTCAACTGAAACAGAGTTGACACTCAAAAACCTTAAGAAGCAGGGATTATCAGGCAGGTGAACAGTTTTATTCTTAAGAGCTCACTCTTTCTGAACTCTCCTAAAGCCCATCCAGGCAAGGACATATGAGTTTGTTATCTGAAGGAAGAAAAATGCTTTGAAGAAGATTTATAAAGAGGAAGGGTCTTTGGTTTATTGACAAGAAAGTAAAAGACTTTCTAGAGTTGTAAGCGAAATGTCGCTGTTCAGGTTCTAGAACTTGCTGGCTAGAGAACAGATGGCTGCCACTTGTTGGCACCTGGAGTGACAAGGAGTTGAGGAAGGAAGAGAGTGTCATCCATGTGATCTGGCACAGAACATTCTTCTCTGGAGCCACTCTTATAAAGAAGAGACTGGCATGTTTGGTGGGTTTACTGTATGATATGGTTTGAATCTGTGTCCCTGCCCAAATTTCACGTGGGATTGTAATCCTTAATGTTGGAAGTGGGGCACGGTGAGAGGTGATTTGATCATGGGGGCGGTTTCTCACGAATGGTTTCGCACCATCCCCTTGGTGCTGTTCTCATGATAGTAAGTTACCATGAGATCTGGCTGTTTAAAAGTGTGCGGCACCTCCCACCTTGCCTTTCTTCTCCTGCTCCCACCACATGAGATGCCTCACTCCCCCTTTCCCTTTGCCATGACTGGAAGCTTGCTGAGACCTCCCTAGAAGCCGAAGCTGCTATGCTTCCTGTATGGCATACAGAACTGTGAGCCAATTAAACCTCTTTTCTTTATAAATTACCCAGTCTCAGATATTTCTTTACAGCAATGTGAGAACAGACAAATACACCATAGTACCTCCAACCTGCTAATTAAGTCAGGAGTCTCCCCCTGGTTGGCTGCTACCCACAGGCTCCACTACTGGTGAGTCGTAGAAGACAAATAAAGGCATTTTAAGGAATAGTACGACAATAATCTCTAGATACATCTGCAATCAAGTAACAGTAACCCCTCTCAGAAGCTATGCCAGTATGTTGCAGATACTGAACACACATCTGTTAAATGAATGAAAATGAATGAAAGAATAAATGATTATACAGTGTACTTGTTTCATAATTGTAACTGGTTTATATTGATTTGGTTATATCTGCTTGGTACCATGTGAGTTTTGATTACATAAAGATCTACAGTCTTTGTATGACATGGCCTCAGAACACAAGTCAACTTCTTCATCTGGTTCTCAACCTAAGAAATAATGATCTGTTGCAAGGACAGGCTGGCCATGGTAGAAGTACGAAGCAACATTTTATCTACATAGTACTTTAGAGGTAATGTAAGAGATTTTCAAAATCATGCTTTTACAATGTCTACATTAAGGTCTGGCTTTTAACTAAAAAGTATGTGAAACATGATAGCATTTCTAGATTGATTCCATTCAGAGGTGCTTTTATTTCACACATATATCTCAGACCAAGGGTAAGTATGGTAAGAACAAGTCACTAGGAGGCCAGCAAGAGAGGATTAATGAATGGAAGAAATGGAAAGGAGAGTGAAACACTGGTAAACTCATCCCAGCTCCAGCAAGAGGGGCCAAGATATCTGAGCTAGCTGGAACAGCACAATAATAAAAATAATAACAATAATGACATTCACTGTGAGCAAAAGAACTCTGTAAGCAAATCAAAAATATCAGTGCTAAGGGTCTTAATAGCTGATTATAATGAACTTCCTCATGTAATCTCAGGGAGCAGAAAAGAGAAAATAGATTGTGCATCTGTTCAAACTAAACATATTTCAAGCTGGAACCAGCTTGGTGCCAAAGACATCTCTGTCACAGAGAAGAAAAAATTCCAAATGGAAGAAAAATTCCACTTCATGCTCAAACACCATGAACTTCGACAGGAAAATTAGGTAACCACTGCCTCACTTACAAGGCAACGCATCAGTTTCCTATGGCTGCAGTAACAGATTAACACAAACTTAGTGGCTTCAAACCACACCACTTTCTTATCTTGCTCTTCTGGAAGTTGGGGGTCTGACACAGGTCTCCAGGTGTGGGCAGAGCTGACACCTTGAGCCTGACGCAGGTCTAAAATCAAGTTGTGCGCAGAGGTGACTTCCTTTCCAGAGGCTTCTTTTCCAGTTTCTAGAGTCCAACTACATTCCTTGGCTCGTGGCCTCTTCCTTCATCTTTAAAGTCAGCAATAATGGGACGAAACCATCTCACATCACATCACTCTGACCTGCTTTTCTGCCTCCCACCTCCACTTCTAAGAATCCTTGAGATTACACTGAGCCCACCTGGACAGTCTAGGATAATCTTCCTATTTTAACATCAGCTATTGAGCAACCTCAATTCCATCTGCAACCTTAATTCCCCACTGCATATAAGGTAACACAGCCACAGTTTCTGGGGATTACGACATGGAGGTCTTTGGTAGGAGGGGGGTATTCTATCCAGGGATCCCCAACCGCCGTGCCACACAGCAGGAGGTGAGTGGCGGGTGAGCAAGCATTACTGCCTGAGGTTAGCTTCCTATCAGATCAGCAGCAGCATTCATTTCTCACAGGAGCAAGAACCCTACTATGAACTGCACATGCGAAGGATTTAGAATGCGGGCTCCTTATGAGAATTTAATGCCTAATGATATAGGGTGGAACAGTTTCATCCCGAAACCACTCCCTCCACCACCGGGTCTGTGGGAAAATTGTCTTCCATGAAACAAGGTCCCTGGTGTCCTAAAGGTTGGGGACTGCTGTTCTATATTGCCTACTACAGGCATCAATGTTTCAAATTTACTTAAAAATCTGTTCAGGTCCAGCTACCACAAATACAAGTGAGTGCCTCTCATTTGTGAAAAACTGTGTATGTGTAAGGTGTGAGAATCCTATCTTATTTTGCTAGGCAGAGCTGACTATATGTGCTCTCAGAGCCCCCAGAATTCCAGAAAACCAAAATTTAAAAAAAAATATTGAAGATTAAAAAACAGAGAGACAGTGTTACCCAGTGAAGTTTCTAAGAGAATCTACCCACTAACAGACTTTTCCCCATCTCAAGTTCTCAATCATTCATTTTGTTACATTTTTTTATATTTGACAAATGATATCTAATGCATTTCATTGCTGTTAGCAGTTTAGACACTTATGAGAAATTAAAACCCCATTAAGTGTGAAGGCATCTAAACAATACCAGATCTGCCTTCCACTGAATATATTTTGGGATGACAGGTCTGCTTCATCTGACTCCTCAACAAGAACAGCTTATGAAACTCACAGTTTTAGTGACAGGGCCCAACCGGCACCTATTTTTGTATCACCTGGAAAAAAAAAATGCCCACATAGGCAATACATCTGATACAGAAATGAAATTAAATAGAACAATACTGAGGCATCAACCACTCAGATCCATTTCACTGTTTCCTATTCTGAGACAACCTAATTGAAGGTGGCATTCCAAGGTTAAATCCTAGCTCTGACAGCATCTCCTGTCAGACACCTGTCAAAATGTAATAAGACACCTGTGAAAGGGAAGTGATGCCAAAGCCACATCATTTTCCCCTACACCTTGATTCCTAACTTGCAGGATTCATGTCACCCAGCAAACAGAGTGGTAGCTGGGTGCTGCTGGCACTGTGCCACCATTTGCAGGTGAGGGAGGGAAGGGAAGGGAACACAAGGGGTGGGGGAGAGAGAGAGAGAGAAGAAGAGAGAGAGAGAAGGAGAGAGGGAGAGAAAAAAAAAGACAACACTGCAAAAGGAAGCACCCAAGCGTTTTAAGTTTAGCAAATGATTATGAGCATAAAAGGACAACTCTGAACGGACTTGAATTTTAGGATTCATCCCTAGAGTCTTGATCATGATCAGAAGCAGGGAATTATTTTTTAATATCTGTTTTACATAATTAAGGGGTGGTAGCTTTCATGCAAATGAACGCTTTGAATGCTCACAACACCAAATGGGCTTCATTAGCTTAGCTGGGCAATTATGAAGCAGGAAGTAAAAAGCTGAGATAAAGACTTATCTCAAAAAGGTCTGAAGCAGGGCGTGTTGATAGCCAAGAGGCACAACGATGCATTTTGTACATTTATTACCTCGGAGGCAAAACTTCTAGGATTCTAGATAGCTTTGAAAGCAGTGCATACATTCCATTTAACACCCAAATGAAACAGGTGGAATGTTTAAAGATCTGTAGAAAGTCTTGAAATCGTTCCCACACATTGGAAGGTTTTACCAAACCTTCTCTATTTATTCTAAGTGCTTTTTCTATTGTTTTTCAATTGCTTCTCTCATTTCCCTCCCGTGTACATTTCAGAGAAAATTGGAGAGCTTAAAATGCGACTAAATATAACCCCTGCACTAAGCAAACAGTGAATAAATCCTTAAGAAATTATTTTTGAAGCATATTCTTTCTGATTTGATTTAAAAACTGCAATATCACATGTGAGTCTTGCTCAGGAGAAAGGCTATTTGTTCACAAGACGACCAAGCATGTAGAGGGAAAGCTGAGGGTGAAGGGACTGAATCCGGTTCTCAGCTATTTCAATACAGATGTTTTTCTAGATAATCGGCCTCATTGTAAGTTAAAGAATCAAACATAAATCAGATCTCTCACAGGCTGAGAAAAGGCAAAACAACAGCCTGTTCGTTCTGTAAAAGGACCATTCTAGTTGGCCTATCTGGTACAACCACCTTGTTTAAAAGACAGTAAACTGAATCCAGCAAAAGTTTATTGACTTGGTCCAGAATATTACTGAGCCACCACCACAGCCAGGCTTACATCCCAGAGCTCCTGTTTCCCATCCTGGGCTGTGTATATTCTTCCACGTCACCTCCCCAGGTGGCTGGCTTTGAGAAGAAGGGAATCATAAAAAGACCAGAAATAACATATACACCTTGAAGGAGTTGACACAGGATTTTTTCTTGATCACTTTGCAAGCCAGGGACCTCTGGCCAGTGACACCCTGCCCAGGCCTCACTCGGCCATGCTACTTGCTATAGGAGATGGCCCGCCCACTTAGCCCGCTCAGGCCGAGTCTGACTTGCACACTAGTTCCCAAGTTCTTGTCCTGCGCCCCAGCAGAATGAGGATACACTGACAATCAAAGAAAAAGTCAGGGAGTTTTATTGAGTGATGAAAACAGCTTTCAGCAGAGTGGGGATGCAGGGGTGGTCCCCCTATCTGAAGGCAGGAAAGTCCACCCAATTTGTCTGAGTCTGGGGCTTTTATAGGCTCAGAATAGGGGAGGGGCAGGCAGTAGGTAGTACTCGAAAAAGCAACATTAGATTGGTTCAACGGCATTATTCAGAAAGAATCAACCAAGAAAGGTCAGGCAAACAGAAACGCAAGTTCTCACTCTGGGTCGCAGGTTTCATCCAGGACCAGCAGTCTGGTCTTTCAGCCTTCAGGCTGTTTCTGTTGGTTCGGAGGTGGGATTTCACTGGGGACTCACCTCTATCTGACTAGGTATTTGGCTGCCTCCTACTGTCCTCAGAGTCATCTGTTCATCAGTTTGTTTTCCCTGTACCTTCCTTTCTCACAAACATTCCATTGGCAGATTTCTGTTTTGTTCTGTGTGTTTCCTTTCCTTCTCCCCAGTTCAAGCTGAGGCAGACGCATGGACAAAGAAAAACAAACTGCTGGCTAAATACAGAGCAGAGAGTGTCATGGAATGTTTACAGAGGAAATGGTTTTAGGAACCAGAGAGTAGGAAAAGCTCAGGCTGGGGAAGGGGCAGGAGGATGCAAGAGGGAATGACTTTAGGGTATAAAAGGAATGGAAACGGCCAGGCACAGTGGCTTGTGCCTATAATCCTAGCACCTTGGGAGACTGGGGCAGGAGGATTCCTTCAGGCTAGGAGTTCAAGGCCAACCTGGCCAACACAGTGAGACCCTATCTCTGTTATTATTAAAAAAAAAAAAAAAAAGGAATAGAAGAACTCGAGTCCTTAAAGAATTAGGGTCTCCATGTAGAGTACCAGGTGGCCAGGTGAAAACATACCCAAATATCAAGTAAGGACACCCATTGGCCAGCACCCCCAAATTTTAGTCCAGTTATTACACCCAACTTGGACTGGCAATTTATCCCCTACAGGTAACTGAACATCTTATGGTCTGGGAAATCTACCAGCCCCTCCAAACAGAAGATGAGGAGCTTAAATGGAATAGTAGGAAGGGGGAGCTTTACCCCTTGACCATGATGGGTCTAAATAAAATGAGCTGGGAATTTCCCTAGGAGCCCAGGGTAGTGCTACAAAGAGGACACACTGCCCCTGAGGTATACTGTGTTCATTTGGGAGCTATCTAGTCCCAGTTTTCCAAGACAGACTCCAGGGAAAACAGGTCTACCTTGAACAACATGAGTTTGAACTGTGTGAGCCCACTTACACATGGATTTTCTTTCACCTTCACAACCTCTGAGACAGCAACACCAACCCCTCCTCTTCCTCCTCCTTTACAGCCTACTTAATGTGAAGACGATAAGGATGAAAAGTCTTTACAATGATCCATTTCCACTTAATAGTAATTATAATTCCTCTTTCTGATTTTCTTTTTTTAATCTTTTCTTAATTCTACCAATTAATTTTTTCTTTTTTTTAAAATTTTATTATTATTATACTTTAAGTTTTAGGGTACATGTGCACAATGTGCAGGTTTGTTACATATGTATACATGTGCCATGTTGGTGTGCTGCACCCATTAACTCATCATTTAGCATTAGGTATATCTCCTAATGCTATCCCTCCCCCCGCCCCCCACCCCACAACAGGCCCCGGTGTGTGATGTTCCCCTTCCTGTGTCCATGTGTTCTCATTGTTCAATTCCCACCTATGAGTGAGAACATGCAGTGTTTGGTTTTTTTGTCCTTGCCATAGTTTGCTGAGAATGATGGTTTCCAGTTTCATCCATGTCCCTGCAAAGGACATGAACTGATTATTTTTTATGGCTGCATAGTATTCCATGGTGTATATGTGCCACGTTTTCTTAATCCAGTCTATCCTTGTTGGACATTTGGGTTGGTTCCAAGTCTTTGCTATTGTGAATAGTGCCGCAATAAACATACGTGTGCATGTGTCTTTATAGCAGCATGATTTATAATCCTTTGGGTATATACCCAGTAATGGGATGGCTGGGTCAAATGGTATTTCTAGTTCTAGATCCCTGAGGAATCGCCACACTGACTTCCACAATGGTTGAACTAGTTTACAGTCCCACCAACAGTGTAAAAGTGTTCCTATTTCTCCACATCCTCTCCAGCACCTGTTGTTTCCTGACTTTTTAATGATTGCCATTCTAACTGGTGTGACATGGTATCTCATTGTGGTTTTGATTTGCATTTCTCTGATGGCCAGTGATGATGAGCATTTTTTCATGTGTTTTTTGGCTGCATAAATGTCTTCTTTTGAGAAATGTCTGTTCATATCCTTTGCCCACTTTTTGATGGGGTTGTTTGTTTTTTTCTTGTAAATTTGTTTGAGTTCATTGCAGATTCTGGATATTAGCCCTTTGTCAGATGAATAGATTGCAAAAATTTTCTCCCATTTTGTAGGTTGCCTGTTCACTCTGATGGTAGTTTCTTTTGCTGTGCAGAAGCTCTTTAGTTCTTACTAATATTTTCTTTTCTCTAGCAAACTTTATTGTAAGAAAACAGTATATAATACATACAACATACAAAATGTGTTAACTGATTGTGTTATCAGTAAGGCTTCTGGTAAACAGTAGTCAAATTTTGGGAGAGTCAAAAGTTATATGTAGACTTTTGACTGCCTGGGAGTCAGCACCCCTAACCCCTGTGATGTTCAAGGGTCAGTTGTATTCTGTTAGCTCACCAATGTTTACCTGATCTTACACTTGTCCTAACTTCTAATATGGAAAGGATAGGCCAATGATATAGTAGAGTGCTTAGATTTGACTGTTGACCACTGGCTCTCAAAGCCTCTCCAGTATAACTGCCTCTGCCTCTTCACCCCATCTCCCACTGTGCCTAAAACCCAACACTCCAGCCAAAGAGTAATCATGCGCTGTTGCCTGAACATACCCCATACTTGTCTCCTACTAGTCTTTGCTCATGCCAGTCTTCCTACCTCAAAGGCTCTCCCTTTGCTCTGTTTACCTCTTGATAACTTATCCATCTACCAACCAAGAATTTTTAACATCTGAAATGATTCACAAATGGAATGGGATGGGCTCAAACGATAAAAATAATAATGGCTAATTTGGTGTCAGGAACTGTGCTAAGCATGTGGAATACATTATTCTCATAATTACCTAAGAGGGAGCTATAATAATCCTCATTTCATAGATGAGGCCCAGGAGGGTCAAAGAACATTTCCAAGGTCACTCAGCTGGGATTCTGACCCAATCAGTAGGACTTTAGAGCTGGGCTGTTAACCTGTACCCTCTATGCCTCTAATGGTCCTTCTAACACTGTGACCCTGGCATTTTATAATGTAACTGTTTCTCCCCAGATCCCTTTCTGAATGCCCCCAATGAGGTGTAAGCCCTCCTTACTCTGGAAGTTATCTCACTGGCCTCACCCGACATATTTACATACTTTTTTCATCTCACCAAATACAGATGGTCCCTAACTTCAATGGTTCATCTCAAATTTTTTTGACTTTTTAATGGTTTACTGGGAGTATTAAATGCATTTTAACTCATGATAAGTTTATTGGGACACAGCTCCATCATATGTCATAGAGCATGTATACTGGGTAAGCTTCATGAAAGCGGAAACTCTGGCTGATTTACCCACAATCAGACTGTCTGAGCTGCAGCAGATATTAAAGTATTTTTCGTGAATGAACATCTTTCATGCTTCACACAGTAGAAGTGCTCCGTAAATGGTTGTGGTGTGTGTTGAATTCTGTTCAAACAATTATCAGGAACAACAGTCACAGTTTTTCACAGTAGCACACTGGAACCCCCTTTCTTCACTGTGAGTGCTGCCCTGACCCTGACAATCAGGTCAACTGGACAGTCTGTTCTCACCAGTCTCAATATAGGACTGAAAAGCTATCTTCTCCAACCAAGTTGTTTGGATCACCTGAGGTCAGGAGTTCGAGACCAGCCTGACCCCCGTCAATATGGTAAAACCCCGTCTCTACTAAAAATAAAAAATTAGCCAGGCATGGTGGTGGACGCCTGTAGTCCCAGCTACTCGGGAGGCTGAGACAAGAGAATCGCTTGAACCCGGGAGGTGGAGGTTGCACTGAGCTGAGATTGTGCCACTGTACTCCATCCTGGGCAACAGAGCAAGACTCTGCCTCAAAAAAAAAAATTGTGATTTTTTGAAACCATTAAATTCTTCACTGGTGTCATGGTACAAACAAAATCACTTGCTTTGACTCTTGGCCAAGTCCAGAATTGTGTCATTTTAAAAAACTGGTTTTTAAAAATCCTAAGTTGTTTCCACCTGCAGGCATAGGCAGAGGAGCCTTCGTCCCTCACTACGCTGACCCCGAGTGGTTCCAGTCCCATCATTCCAGAAACCCCTCTCTGGTCTTGTATCAAAAACACCACAAATCACTGGGATTGCTCTGTCATGGGGTAGAAGGGGCTCGAGGACAAAGTTTAGCTTAAAACCAGAGTGAATTTATTTCTATTACATATGGTTAAATCATGACTTCTTTTCTAATCCCTAAAGCTAAACAGTAGAGTCATGCTGGAGACACACCATCATCTATGTCAATCAGACAAAATTAAAACAGAGACCAACATCTCCTTGTTTCATTTAATTTTGTTCTCTTGTTACTGCATGTGTGACACCAAGAACCACTTGACCTTTGGACAAAAAAGTAGTTATATATAAGCCATGTATGGCTAAGGTCCTGTTTTCACAGGCCAGGAACATGTAACAGCTCTAATTCTTGTTGACTCTATTTCTGAAATAGAGTCTGAATATGTACACTTCTTTCTGTCTCAAAGTCTACCCCCTAGGCCAGACCACCATTGCTTCTTACCTGGGGAACAGGGCAGTATCTGCTCTTAACTGACCTGCCGGCCCCCGCTCCCTATTCTAATCCTTTCTGTATACAGCCGCCAGAAGGGCTTGACACAAATGTAAAGCAGGGAACCCTGACCCTGTGCTTCAATGACTTTTCAATGCATGGAGAATAACCAAGCACATTACCTGGCCTGCAAGGCCCTGCATAATGTGATGTGGCACTGTACAGATGGCCATGTCCACCTCGGGCCACTCTCCCTCACACCTCCTGCACCCTGGGCTCACTGGCTTCCTCTCACACCTGAGCACTTGCTGCTCCTTTGACCTGGAGCTCTCTTCTTTCAGCTCCCCAGGACTGGCTCTTGCTCATCCGTTAAGTTTCAGCTAAGTGTCACCTTCAGAAAGTCCTCTCTACCTATGCTTTCTACAAAGGTCTCTGCCTTCCCTCACCCACCCCATGCTATTTTCTATTACATTACGTATTTTTTTCTTCCTGCTCCTTTTTACACAAACTGCAATGATTGTCTTTACGTATTGACTTACTTATCTTCAATTTTCCCTATTGGAATGTAATTCCATGAGGGCACAGCCCTTGTTTATCTTCTTTGGCATTGTACCCCCTATTAACCTGCAACACATCACATGGATGTAAACAGTATCTGTGCAATGAATAAATTAACGAATGCCAAGTTCCATCACATTCCAAGGTCTGTCATTACCTGGGCCCCTGCCATCCTTTCCAGCCTTATCAACCAGCGCTCTCCCACATGGACAATTACGCAAGGCACACTGAGCCACTTCCTTCAGGAATAGGTCACTTTTTCTTGCCTCTGAAATTTTATACCAGCTGTTGCCTCTCGCTAGGATGTCTTTCTTCCCTTCCTCACTCAAGTCTAATTCTGCTCAAGGATCAGTTTAATTGTTACTTCCTCTAGGATTTCAAAAGAATTTTTGAATGCACCAAGGCAAAGTTAAATGTGGCAACAATCTGTCAGAAAAGCTGCCTTTTGGTGGGTGAGTCCCAGAAGTACAGAAATCATGGCTAAATCGTACCTTTATCTTCAATACAATACCTGGCACACAATAGGTGTTCAATAAGTGTTAGGCAAATGAGTGAGTTTAACTAAATTATAACTTCCTGAGAACTAACAACATCTCAATCACTACGCTCAGTATAGATTGAGGCTGAGGGCCGCCAATGTTGGCAGCAGCAAAGCCTGCTTAAATATAATAACTACAGCTGCATTGCACAGAAGTCCAGTTAGTGCAGAAGCATAAAGTTTTGAGGGTGTGTGAAAGGAACAAAGACAAAGTTCAGGTGAGACATGGAAGCAACGAGAAATGCAACATGGGGCGAGTAAGCCAGCACTTTCTGCTTTCACTTCTATCACTTTGGAAACATTTAGTCCAGAATGATCTGGGGGTTCTTACTTATGGTTCTAAGACAGCCTCCACATTCCTCAGCATGTCCAGTCACAATCACCATCTCCCCAAGAAGGCACAAAGTAAGCATCTGTAAATCCATAGTTGGCTATTTTGGAAAATTAGTGTTAAATAAGAATAAAAAAAAAAAACCCTTCACCTTTATGTGTAATAAAGCACTGCTTAACAATCAAGGTCACCCATGTCAATAACACTCCCCAAGCAAAGCTTCATATCTTTTTAATTCCTAGGCTCATAAAGACCATTGTCACTTACATCATTACAGGATTCAAGGGAGAATAACATAAAGAGAATGTGCAGGATAATTTTCAAAATAAAAGAGAAAAAAATGACACATCTACATATCAAACCACACAAGTCCCGTGTCTGATAAAATCACAATTATAGATTTGGTGCATTTAACCAGTCATACATGCCATGCATTTGCGAAGGTGCCATATGGGGGAGTTGTGGAAAGTCAAATAATTCCTAGACTTTTTCTTTCTGAGCACATGTGACAATGAATATTATTTACCCCTGTAGTATAGAAATTATGAAGCTTAAGACCCCATTGCTTCTTTTTAATAAAAGCTAACACATCACAGCTTACTGCTTGACCCAGCTCCTTGGTCTTTGCACGTTCTCCTCTCTGGGCAGCTCTCTCTCAGTTTTACCCCCTACCACAGGAAAGGAGACAGCTGTGTTTCTAGACTTGACAGACTTGTTTTTACTTGATAAACACATTGTATATTGTAGGGGAGAAAACGATCACCCCTATTCCCCTCCTTAGTTCTTATGTGGGCTCTTTGGCCCGATCTAGGAACCAAATTGACACAACACAGATTAACAAAGAAAGGCGTACACATTTTATTAATTTTACACATACATGGGAATCTTCACAAGACAGTGAAGTTCAAAGAAGTGACCAAAGCAACATGCTTTTACACGTTTTAGACAAAAACAAACAAACACCACGATAAATTTGTGAAGAAATGACAGGATAAAAAGGGATCTGGCTAGGGAAAATAATTTCTATGGGAGTGACCAGGAGCTATATGAATGTAAAACAAGTAGAAGGTAAGGATTATTTCAGGAAGTTTATTTGCTCAGACACATTGCAGCACCTAATCACAGTCTCCACTGATAAGGAATATTCTCTTACCCTTGTACGGAGAAGGCAGCCCTCCCAAAAGAATCTTTATGGCTTGCTACGTGTAGAAAAAGACTGGTCAGTTAGCCCTCTGCAATTATACTTTTTCCAACGTTTTCAGCTCGAAATAATCAACATACCAATTCGCATATTCTGGGATGGCATGTCCTTCACTGCTTCAGGAATATGTTTTCCTTTGTGCTTTACTTGGATATTAAGTTCCAACCAATTTTAATTACATGTCGCTTGTGCATAATATTGCCACTTCTAAAAAGCAGATCACTTTCTGAGTTAGAAAGCTTATCTGCTTTCCCTCCTTATAGACACTTCTGAAGCAGAAAGGAAGTAATTCCTATGCTCCTATCAGATATGGGCTCATATTTCTGTTTCAAATTTAAGTCTGTGACCCCTACATGAGGCCAGGATTTTGAGAAGAGTGAGGAAGGTAGACTCTTTTTAAACCATGCCACAGGCAAAAACTCAGAACTCATTTTGGGGAGGAAAAAAAGTCCTATCAAACCAGTATACTATAAATTAAACAATGTAGCATCAAAGATAACTTTTCCTTTAGTTGTTACCCCTGAGTGGTCACGTAGCCATAAGAAAATCACCTCCTTGTCAACACATCATCAATCAACCAGTGTTCATTAAATACCAACTCTGTGCTAGAACCTGCTTGGTATAAAGAATTCTATTTTGTGTTCAATGTGTGCATTCAGTGCTTTGATTGTAATTATCTTTGAAATGACCCAAATCATTCCAAACAACTATAAGTGACTTTATATTCAGAATAGCAAAAAGCTGACTTGAACACACAATGTAAAAGTCTTGAAGAGAGAGTGAATTAAACTTTTTTTTTTTTTTACAACAATCAGTGGGCTTATAGAATAGAAAGAGAAAGAGGGGGAGAGGTTTTTATCTTTTAGAATTGCAATGCAGTGAATAGTGATACTAGAAGAACAATCACCAAAAGATTACAGATGAGAACTTCAGATGAAAATAACAATGAAACAAAGCAAAATTCAATTAATGGCCTTAGAGAAGGTGAGATCAGAAAGAGAAACTGAAAGTTTTTTAGACTTCTCTTTAAGACAGATAAAATTTAGAATTTTTAAAAATCCATAATAAAAACCAGAACAATGCTACCTCGCCAAAGTTGAGTTCAAATTTAGTCACTTCAGTCACCAAGAATCCAGGAAACTTAGTTACTATGGGAACAGAGGTCCTCCTCTTCAGAAAGGAGGGCAGTGTTTCTTTCAAATTCCACCAGCTAAATTCAAGATCAATGATGGTTGTTTAATATCCTCTCTTGAAGCTCTTACTGTCTTTAGTATACTTTAAAATAAAATAAAAACTCAACAATAATGGAGCTCAATTAAGCATAATTTGTGTGCTTCAACCTTTGGCTGGGTGACTGCTCTGTACCGTTCACACTTGTACTGTAGAGCATTGCAATTTTTAATTAAGATCACTCATTCTATTTCCCCTGAACCAACCAATGTTGAGGTTATTGTTTGGATACAAAACTCTCCAGGATACGGCTTCACTTAACAAGGACTTTGTTTCTTTCAAGTACCAGGCACTCACTGGTTCTGAGTATAGGCTGCCTGCCCTACTTTAAAATGCATCTCAACTTTATTTCAGAGACAGTAAGATTTCATTGTTACTCTACAGGACTTAGAAATAAATGCATGCATGTACTCACACACAAAATCTCTCGATAATTTTGCATATAATACAGTTTTTGTGCTCTATGCCAACAAAGAACAGAATGTTTAGTAAATCACAGAGAAACACTTTTATTTCTTGAGACTGAGATATGTGTGGCTTCTCTACTTTTCTAGGAATTACATTTAAAATGTAAGAGGACAAGACCTCATTCAACCTTTTATGCCTACTTTAGTGATCAGGGTGAAACATATAAGAATATTGCAACACCAAAGCTGTGTGTCACTACTCAGCTAATGGTACCTATAAAGAAACTTCTCTTAATTAGCTTTACCCTGAACTAACTTCCTTTGCTCTGCCATGTATAATTAAATATGTTAGCAAGACAGAAATGTGAGATGTAGCAGCTTTCACACCCAAATTTCCGACTCCAAATTTATAAAAAGTGTGGATTTTTTTTTAGTTGAAAGCCCATCATGAAGTATTTTACTTTTACTCTAAAAACTTTCAAAATTACATTAAAAGAAGAAAAAGAAAATGGGCAGGAAAATTAGTAATGAGAGATGAATTTTCAGAGAAAAGAATTCTACAGTAGTCCCTCCTGATCTGCAGTTTCCCATTCAGTGCTTTCAGTTACCCTTGGTTAACCATGGTCCAAAAATATTAAATGGAAAATCCCAGAAATAAACAATTCATAAGTTTTCAACTGCAAGCAGTTCTGAGTAGTGTGATGAAATCTCATTGTCTCTCACTCTGTCTCTTCTGGAGCGGGAATCTTTCCTTTGTCCAGCATATTCTGGCTGTATATGCCACTCACCTGTTAGATACTTAGTAGCTATCTCTGTTACCAGATCAACTGTTGTGGTATGGCAGTGCTTATGTTTAAGTAACTCTTCTCTTACTTAACGATAGCCCCACAGAAGAGTAGTGATGCTGTAAATTTGGATATGCCAAGGAAAAGTCCCAAAGTATCTCTTTTAAGTGAAAAGTCAAAAGTTCCTGATTTAGTAAAGAGAAGTCATATGCTAAGGGTGGCAACACCTATAGGAAGAATAAATCTTCTATCCATGAAACTGGGAAAAAAAGAAAAATTCATGCTAGTTTTGCTCTCACACCTCAAACCGCAAAAGTTTCAACCACAGTTCATGATAAGTGCTTAATTAAGATGGAAAAGGCATTAAATCTGTGAAAGGAAGACATGAACAGAAATGTGTTCGTTCCTACTGATGGCAATTAGGTTCGGTACCATCTGTGATTTCAGGCACCCACTGGGGGTCTTTGATTGTATCCCCTGTGGATAAGGGGGTACTGTTGTATATCAAACAAAATCTGAGGTGCCCAGCCAAGGACAGTGCTGCTTCCCAGAAGAGATGAGACTCCCCTATCCTTTCTATCTTCCCAAAGGGTGCATGTAGTGTACGCCCATTGGTCTCTCCCTTTCAGGAGTGAATCCAAAAGCCACAATATTGATGGACGGCAGGAAACGTCCAGTATCTGGGCTCTGAAGAACCTTGAGGATAGAATCCAGCTCCAATCATACAGTTCCTCTGTATGGATACCTTAAACAAAAGTGTATTTTATCCTTTTTAATTTGGCATCCCTTAGAAATGTGAAACTTCCTTGTGAAAACTGCTCTTTAAGGAAACGAAACTTTTTTATTGTAAGCCTTCCCATTGTCTGTATATAATTAAGAAAAGATCAGTGATAGTTCACGGTGGTTTTATAATAGGTGAATTAATCAGTTTTAAAAAGCTGAATTTTACATGCATTTGACAACCAATCTGGGCACTATTTTCCTAGGAAAAGGCTCATTTGATTAAATAAATTTTAACCTTTAAAAGCTTTAATTCTTTTTTTTTTTTTTTTTTTTTTGTACACAAAGGACTCTTTTGTGATGGTTGGATCAACTTACACATCCAGAGCACATGTGCATAGATAAAACTTTGCAGTAAACTATCCTGTTACAGATAGCTTTTCTTACACATAAAAATACATTCTGATGAGCAATCTAGGGGAAACAAAACTAAAAAAAATTAAAATACAGATATACAATTCATATTCTAATCTTATCAGAATAACCTACTGTTAAAACACAAACTGAGGCAGGATAAAATTTTAAAGAGTTTATTTGATCGAACAACAATTCATGCATTGGGCAGCTTCTAACTGGAAGTCATTCACGAGCTCCACAGAGGGAACATGATGGGTGGACTTTTATAGGAAGGTCACAAAAGTAAAGCAAGTCAGTATGTGACTGGTTATAGCTCTATAATTGCCTTATTTGCTCTATCCCATTAGAAAGTCACTAAATATATATACATAAGTTTGTTGGCTACTTCCAACTGGACAGGCTTAAGTTCTGTTTTCCTTTAATATAGGCATTTGCAAGGAATAGCTTAAGTTTCACTTAAGCTTTGCAAGCCAAGCAAGGTTTAGGTCACTTATGAGGTCTGATATCATCTGTTTCTTTCAGGCCTAGTCTCCATTTTAATTTACTTTAACACTATCCATAAGAATATTAAAAACAGGCAGCAGATATGCAGATATTTTATCAATACAACCTTTTATAAATACAGGAAAGAATAGTGTTGACAGTCTAAATTTGCTTCCTTGAGGCATTATCTGTTTGACCAGATTTAATCATTTAATTTGAAACAAAGAAACAAATACTACTCTGGGGTTGCTGTGAAAGGACATTCAGAGTGGACAAAACCTCTTTAAACTTTTCTTCAAGGTTTCATCTTCACATATATGTTAGTTTGGTTACTTTGACAGATTGGTCAACTTAATCCAATACAGTTTTATGGGTCCGGAAAGTGCTTTGCTTGACTTTGACCGTATGTGTCATGTCAGTTAAGTTAAAAGCTAATTCAATGTGTCCACTTCGGGGTTATTTCCATCATAAGGCATTATGTTTTTACTTGGGTTGTATGGGGGAGTTCCTCTGAATTGACTAGACAGATGGGAGGTTTAGACACAGTTTAATATTCTGTACTTGCAGAAGCAACTATTGAGAGCTTTGATTACAACTAAATTCAAGCTAGCTCAAAAGTTGGTTCTCAGCCATTTAAGTCAAAAGGTTAGGTAATGTCACTCCCTCCAGGGGTTCATTGTCCAGTTTTTCTGTGTATTCATTTTGTTTTTATTTCATGCCTATCTAGTACCCACCCCTGTGTCCCACCTATGCCTGAATTCTTACTGTGTAAACTCTTTTGGATGGGAAATGACCAGCTCCTGCTACTGACCACAGCCCTCCCTCTTGCCAGAGCCTGAAGGACAGGGGACTCCTAGCTCGACAGATCATGCTAAAATTATACCTTGTGCTTAGCATTTCTTGGCCTTTAATCCTGTCCCAGTTACTTCTCTTTTTTTTTTTTTTTGAGACAGAGTCTCGCTTTTGTCGTCCAGGCAGGAGTCCAATGGCTTGACCTCAGCTCACCACAACCTCCACCTCCTGGGTTCAAGTGATTCTCCTACCTCAGCCTCCCCAGTAGCTGGGATCACAGGTGTGCGCCACCAAGCCCAGCTAATTTTACATTTGTAGTAGAGACGGGGTTTCTCCATGTTGGTCAGGCTGGTCTCGTACTCCCGACCTCAAGTGATCTGCCCACTTCAACCTCCCAAAGTGCCAGGATTACAGGCGTGAGCCACCATGCCCAGCCATTCCTTCTCTTTTCTAAGATTTGAGTTCTCATTGTTAATCTGGTAATTTTCTTTTTCACACCAGATAAGCAGAGCTGGTTTCTGCATTGCTAACTGGGAGCTTCCTAACTAAAAGAGCCTCACAAACAGTTAATTCTGCTCTAGATGCTGTAAAAGAGGGGGACGGGGGTAGGGGCAGGGAGAGAGAGAGATTACAGTGATAAAATGAAAATGCTGTTTCAGCCAGGAAGTTTTTTCTCCCCCATCTCATATATTAAAATGGGCCTGATTTTCTAACTTCAGCATAAAAGCCCAGTAAGAAATATTAGCTCTTCAGTTAATGTCATTCACACAAGGAATTTATCAGCAGAGTTTGTGTTTGAACTTTTCATGTCATCTCACGCATCTCAGAGGGTATTAAACTCCATAAAACACAATCCCAAAAGTGAAATATTTCCCACTTTTACTCTATAAGTGAGTCTTAGGGAACGGAAAAAAAAATTCCATGTCTGGCTTATTCCTAAAGAGAGAGTAAATAGAGATATTTCTTGGGCCAAATAATGAGAAGAATCACAACCCTTAGGGTTTATGTTCCAAAGGCCTCCAAATCCCAACAGGTCCAGCAAAGCAGAACAGAGAAAGGGGCTGAATATACATGAAGAGAATAACAGAAGCAAGTGGTTAATGGTTTCCTTAAATGCGGCAGAAAATGGCTTATGTGTACCTAAGTATCCTATAGTACTGAGACTTACCAAGAAGAAAAGGTGAAAATGGAACTTGAGGCCCCTGGAAGACATGTTCTTAGCTTTGCCTGCTGGCTTTCTGCATAAATCTGACCTTTCTGCAGGTGAAGTTCTTCTTTACAGCCCAGTTTCTCCTCTTAGTTGGCTACTGACCCACAGTAGCAGCCAAAATTAAACCAATGATGTATTTCTCGTACTTCCCCAAATCACTTTTCTTTAAATAAGTTAATAATAATCCAAACTTGCATTTTTCAGCTGAGTGCTTTGATACTTGCTTCTCAAAAAACTACTTGGAAGGTAAAGGAGTTTTCTTTTCGAGACCTCGATCAGAAATACTCCATGATTCACGCACTCAGTTAGGCCTAAATTAGCCCAATGTTATGGCTATAAAGGAAACAGGAAACCTGTGTTCCAGGGACAATCTTCTTCATCACTCTATTCCCAGCGTCCTCTCATATGAGGACACGGGGGGTTGGGCTACCTCCATAGAATGATAATAAAAGTTTGCCTCCAAAATAATTTGGAATTTTTGGGTTAAGCATCAGGACATTTCATATCATGTAATATACTAACATTCAGTATAAATCTCTAAGCAGGGTAAGTGGGCTCAGAATAAGTCACAATCTCTCAACTCATTTCACCATCTTGAAAATTTCTTCCATGGAGCACAAAGATGAACTAAGTAATCACCACATTCCTCGCAACATTTATACTTTCTGATCAGGACAAAATGATTCTAAGGAGTGATTAAAGCAGGGTAAGAGAGTCTTCTCACCCTAATGAATCCAAAGATCACCAAATAGACACCAGTTTATGGCTTAGTGATGTAAAACAGGTGTGATTCAGAGCCAAGTTTACGTAAGTTCAAATTCTGTTTCCATCTTTGGTAGCTGTGCATTCTTGGATAAGTTACATCACCTCCGAGCCTCAGTTTCTTAATCTGTAAAACAGACATACTAACATGACTTCATAGAGGTGTTTGAAATAGATTATCTAAAATAAGCACCAAGTGTTACATATAATGGTTATTTCAGTTATTCATTGATTTAATTCAATTACCATTAAGGTTGAGACCTGGTCATCATTACCCAGTTAAGGAAGGGGTTTGACATAAAAACCACTCAAGATTTCTTCCCACTTTAGGACTTTATGATTGCCTTTAATTTTTCATGTTTCAATTATGTAACTAAAATCTTCTATTCCATATATATCAGAACACACCCCATCTAATCTCTGCTAAGTGTTTCTCTACTCTGCCTGTCCCATGAAACAATTCCCAAAGCCTAGGAGAGTCTCCTGTGATACAGATACCAAAATGACGTGGGTCAGAAGTAACTCATACATCCATATTGTCAGAGGTGAACTATACAAAATACTGAGTACACTACAGAGTGATCTGATAGGCCAAGAAGAAAAAAAAGTAATCTGATAGACCGAGAAGAAAAAAAAAGTATATGTTGTTTCTCTACTAAAGAATGTCACCGCATATTGATTTTTCTAGTCTTTTACAAAGACTGTGTTCAGAATTTAGATCAGTGTTAGAGAAATTCACTTATAAATTCACATATACCCGTATATAAGGATACAGTCCTGTATCTAAGGATAAAGTCCTAGCTTAAATCTGGAATGAGTAAAAACAAAGTGTAAAGTTAAAAATGCCCCTCTGGTAAGACAAACATATGCTTTTCACCCAAAGGTGCAGTTAAAGAATAACAACAAAAGTTGGTAGTGAGATCCCTCTAAAACCACTGATATATAATAGACTCCTACTGACACCCTAGAAAAATGATGCCAACCCATGCAGATTAGTTTCTTCCAGCAATGTAATTACCCATTTCTTTGGGGCTATCTTTCCTTCAATGGTGATTTGAGAAATACCTTTCATTTATACTCCATTTTGCACAAATAAACTACATTTAAAGCTCTATAATTAGCTGTCCTTTGCTACTGTAAAATTCAGTGTTTTTGTCCAAAAGGAACAGACTATTGATTTACAAAGAAGCTGAAATGCTGTCAAACTACCCACTGAAGAAGTAAGAAAAAAGTGGTCCCTATCTTGGCTCTGCCTCTAGACTAGCTCTTGTCCTACCTCAGCTTTGTATCCACATACCGAGCCTTCTGTTAAGGTTTAGACTTGCACAGCCAAGGCCTCCCAGGCATCTCCCCATTGACATCTAAGAGACACCTCAAATTAAACATCCAACTCTTTGCCTGAAACACCGTTCCTTAAGGGCTTTCCAGATTAGCCCTTTTTTGCCTCTATTATTTGTATCTCTTAAATGCTTACTATTGCAAGATGTAGAAAATCCCAACTAAAACGGGCATAAACCATAAGAGAAATTATTGTCTCACACACTAAGATAAGTGGCTCAGTGAAGCTAAGTATGGGATTATTTCTCTTTGCTCATGAAAGCATCAATGTGTCAGTTGGGTTCAAGTACAAGAATCAGAACCCATTCTAGATATTTTAAGCAGGGGAGATTTAATACAGCAAAGTTGGTGCTGGAGAAATAACTTGGAGGGCTGAAAGTACAACTCTAGGTAGAGCCTTCAGTAAGGACTCCCAGAACAATATCCCATTGACCTCATGGAACTTGTAAGGAGCCACTCCTCCTGAAGCTGTCTTGGAGCCATAGTAAAATCAAGAACTTGTCACCATTACAACTGACTCTACTAATGCAAGAAACCATAGAATGCTTATCTGTAGCTGTGGTCCCGAGTTTCAGAAGCCTGATCATAGCGCTGCCACTGCTGCTTCTGCCATCCCAACCATTTCGTAAAACTCAGAAAGCTGGAGAGTGGGCAGAAAAACACGACTGCAGGGAACCTGGACATTGCCACAGCTACGTTTACCAGCAGAAACAGCCAAAGGAGGGCTGAAATATGGCCTCCACATGGCTTTCACCTTCCACACATCACATATACACATCTAATTGGAGAAGACTTTTTTTGAAGCTGGCTAAAAGAGAATCTGAGAAATGATGCTTTTAGTTTTGCAACAACTTTAACTTGAATGAGGATAGAATGGAAACTACATAAATTCATCTAGAGCATACGAAAATACCAGCTTCCTGGGTGAGTCTTTACATAGGAGCATGATGGAAGCAAGCAGCAATCAAGGCTGCCACAGCCTTTGATATGTTCTAACAGTAGAGAAGAAAAAAATCTCTTTCCTGGCTATGGCATAGAAGGCCTTCCTTTACTCCTTATGGAACCACTTTAAGCCATTTGCTGACTCACAGTCGAATACCACTGACCATGGAATGCTATGGGCTGATTGGCTCAGATGGACAATCTGTTGAGTGTCAACCACAGTGTAGTCTATAGTGTGCCTGCTTACATAACATCTAATCATTGAGGGCTTTCCTGACCATCCAATCTCAAGTAGCCTCTTCTCCTGACCCATGAATTCTGTGTCTGCTTACCAATAGGTAAGTCTTCATGGCACTTAATGCACTCTGAAATTATCTTGCCAATTTACTTATTTGCCTGCTCCTTATCTCCTTTCCCTACTAAGACGCAAGCTCTGTGAAGGTAAGGATCCTGTCTTTTTCACGTCTGTATCCCCAACACTTACAGCAGCATGAAACACATACCAAGCATTCAATAAATTGTTTAATGCATAAATGAATAGGCTATAATCCATGTACTACAGAAACCTTACCAATAAAATGCTTATGTTCTTCCCAGTTAGGCCAGCTTAGCAGTTTATTTAAAAGGGGATGAGAAAGAGAGAGCTGTTCAACGTGTGTGTGGCCATACACAGTGAATCTACTAACTGGTTAGTCTTTTGGGATTCAGTGTTACATCTACTATGCGCCAGTCACTGTACCCTACTATTAGCGATGCATAAATCAGAAATCTTGGCCCAAAGGAGGACTACTGGTACATGAAGATTAAGATTCTACGATGACAGCTGCATTGGAAAACAGTATCATGAAAAGTGTTTTGGAGACGGGTGCACAACAATGTGAATGTACTTAACACTTCTCAACTGTACACTTAAACATGATCAATGATAAATTTTATCATTGGGCCGGGCGCGGTGGCTCACACCTGTTATCCCAGCACTTTGGGAGGCCGAGGCGAGCGGATCACGAGGTGAGGAGATCGAGACCATCCTGGTTAACATGGTGAAACCCCGTCTCTACTAAAAATACAAAAAAATTAGCTGGGCGTGGTGGCGGGCGCCTGTAGTCCCAGCTACTGGGGTGGCTGAGGCAGGAGAATGGCGTGAACCCGGGAGGCGGAGCTTGCAGTGAGCCGACATCGCGCCACAGCACTCCAGCCTGGGCAATAGAACAAGACCCCGTCTCCAAAAAAAAAAAAAAAAAAAAAAAAAAAAAAAAAAATATATATATATATATATATATATATATATATATATAATGTTATATGTATCTTACCACAATTAAGAAACAAAAATAAAAATAAAAAATACATTATAAAACAAGCACAACCTTTTATGTAAATTACTTACTTAATCCTCATAATCAGACAAGGTAAACAGTATGAATATTCCTATTTTAAAAATTCTGACCCAGTAAGGTTAATTAGCTTGATCAAGTTTATATAGCTACTTAGGAGCAGGGCTGCGACTAGAATTTAAAAATCTCCAACTCCTAAGATCATGAGCACACAGATACACAAATAAGCAATAGCATCATGTTTTCAAACAGTCTGGTCTCTTCCCTGGCTCTGTCTGAATGACAGACTCTCCCATTGTTTCTTGTAAACAGGCAATTAATTGTACACACTAATACACAGAAATGGCCCTTAAAATAAGGAAGAACAAGAGAAATCCTTTTTTTTTTTTTTTTTTTTTTTTGAGACAAGGTCTCAGTCTGTTTCCCAGGCCTGAGTGAAGGTGCAATCTCAGCTCACTGCACTCTTCACCTCCTGGACTCAAGTCATCCTCCCGCCTCAGCCTCCTGAGCAGCTGGGACTACAGGTTCATGCCACCAAGTCCAGCTAATTTTTGTATTTTTTCTAAAGATGAGGTGTCACCGTCTTTGCCAGGCTGGTCTCAAATTCTTGGGCTCAAGCAATGCACCTGTCTCAGCCTCATGGGAAATCTTGCACTGATGGGCTAAACTTATTCAAAAAGAAAAATCTTCCTTAAAATTAAAAATGAAGAGTAATAGCAATTGTTGGAAGTGTACTGATTCAAGGGTATCCAGGTCAACTGACAGAAGAGAGAGGCCAGAAAGGAATCATAGTATACTGAAAAGCCGCTGTCTGATAAAAGTTGGCAAGGCAGATTCTAGGAAGAAAGAGCTCTTCAACAAACAATGGCTAACTATTTAAGGAAAATATGTTACATTGTTTTCTCATCTCATGTCAAATATTAAAATTAATCACATGCTTATTAATAAAATAAGAGCAGAAAATTGAGCCATATTATACACAGAAGAAACTTTTATCTGGATTAAAATAGATTTTAAGTATAAAGATCTTAAAACAAAATGACAAAGGAAAAAATGAAACATAACGCCCCAGAAAATTAAAACTTTCAGCTCCCCAAAGCCATTATCAATAAAATGAAGTGAAAGAATAGGGAGAATATGTATTGAAAAAAGTATTAAAGACGAAGAGCTAACATCTTCAGACAGAGTGCTATTCAAATCAATATGGTACAAATCCTTTATTAGAAAACTAAATTTAAAGCATGAGTAGTTCACAGAATAAGAAATATATGTGGTTAACTACCATATGATAAAATACTCAACTTCACTATATTCAATTAACTACGATTTTAAATAATAAAACGGTAATTTTGTTGGAAAAATAGGCAGAGTATTTTCATTTATATTCAAGTCTTCAGAGGCCACAGGTATATGTCACTATAAGGGAAAATTGGCCTACATATCAAAATATTTATTCATAGCGTTCTGGCAACTTATGCCAATGTAATGATCAGAGACCCACACAAAGATTAGTTGTAAAACATTTGTCACAGTTTTATGTATAACCATAACAAAACTGTAAAAAACTAAATGAGAGAACAAATTCTGATACACAAAGGTGAATACTTGAAAGACATTAAGAAATCAGGTTTTCAATACTTCATAAAATGAAAAAGTATTGACATAGTAAAGTATAAAAAAGTAGAACACAAAATGTACAAACACGAATAGGTATTATGTGCATGTATAATACATATATATTATAAATCTACAAAGACCTATCCATATATGCATATATGCATTTAGATAGGAATTTTTTAAAGCACTGGAAGGAAATTTACTCAAATGTTAATGATGGTTATAGATGAGAAGTTGAATTAATGTTAACTCTTCTCTTTATTTCTCTCCATTTTTCAAATATTCTTTAATAAATTGGAAGTGTATTAGAAAACATCCAATGATGTCATGAACACTCATTCCCTAGACATATTAAATCTGTTAGCGTTAACTATAGACTAGTGTACTATGCTAAGGTGTTATGACAAAGAAAAAGAAGCAGTAGACAGATACAAAGACATTCCTGACATTAGGAGAACTTCTGGAGAAAGAGACACATGTTGGTACAAAGGCTGTAATGTAAGTAAAGTAGAAATATAAACAAAAAAAGCATGAGAATTATATTGTAGTTGAAAGCCAGAAAGGCTTCCTGGAAAAGGTGGTGTGTAACTTTTATATGAAAAAGCTGGAGCCCCATCTCATGGAACAGTGGCACAAAGTATTCTCGATAGCGGGCATCACCATTTGAACTCGATCCTCAGCCTTCAATAAAAATCATAAAGCCCATCTTCAGAGCCCCTCTTTTCTTGCTTCTCCATAAATTATGTACTTTCCTCTTTTCTCACCTCCTTGAGATACTGTTTACCTAGGAATGAGACAATTCATTTTTTACAGCCCATCATGAACAATTCTGAAAAAGAATCCCCTCATTCATTACAAGACAGTATGAATTAAAGCTCAAGAATGAACTCTTCCTGGCATTTCTAATTAAATATGTAGTCTACCTATCCTCTAATGGTGAAATAAAAAGTAGCCCCAATATTAAAGCAATTCCAAGGATCAAGCAAGCAGGTAAGGCAGATTGGCCAAGAAGGAAGAGCAAGGCACTGAGAAATCACACCATGACGCAAATGACTTTCTCTGTTGATATGAAAATTTTTTCCTGCCATAGGTGATGTTGATATTCTAACAATTTTAAAACACAAAAAAATTAAGGGGAGTAACAAAATTTCCCTTCTATTTTTTGAGTTATTTACCGCTAACAATCTCCCCTCTAGAAAAAGTTACGGAAATATTGTACAAAATGCACCATGGGTTAAAAAAATGATTTAAATACAGGAAATAATTGTTATTAAATACATCTTCTAGGGAGATCCACTCTGTCCCAATCCTTAAATTAGAAAGTCAGCAAAAAGATGAACTGAATCCCTGATGTTAATTGTACAGGCTTACTGGATTAGAACTAGAGATAATTAATTGCTAAATTTTAATATGCATTGGACTAAATGGCTGATAAGATTTCCAGTAGTTGGCTTGAATTCCAGAAGGGAATGATTATTTCTTCCCCGGCCTGGGAGCCCTACAAGCCGAAGACATTTAAAATGTCTGTATTTGGAATGAAAGAAGTTGGGTAAATAGTAGAATAGGTTACAGAATGGCAAAAACTTCTAGAAAGAAAATATGGAAGTTCAAATTGCCTTTTCCCATTTGAAATTTAGAATATAATACTGTATAGAAAAGAGGATTTAAATTTTTTTATTTTTATTACAGCTTCAGTGATTAGCATTCCTGTACTATAATGTCAATATTAAATCCAGACAGACCCAAAGTCTATTACTTCCTATCTAAAAAAAAAAAAAAAAAAAAAAAAAGACACTGTTTATCACCTAGGTAATTATATTTTTTATGTTCTTAAGAATTTAGGAGCTTGCTATGGTTAATTGGGAAAAATGTGAATTATGGTTAAGTCGTGCCTTTTTTTATTAAACTTGTAACAAAGCAAATGATGAAGAACCAACAACTTGCCAATGCTGAGGGTCCAGATGAACAGACGCGCAGAGAATGCAGATGAGCTGATTCCATTAAAAAGTTGGCTGCAAGGGTAGATGATGAAGGTTAAGAAGATGTAGGACTATAGAGGCCACCAGTGAAAAGGAAAAAAAAATCCCCTGCTTCCTCTGTACAACCTTCAGGATGTTCAAGGAGGAAGAAAGACCACCAACTGCAGGGTCAGTACCCAGATGCCTTAGGATATCCATGAGGCTGTCAGGCACCAGTGAAAATCAGGTCTGGTTGTGCATCAGAATCACCTGTGGAGTTTGTTAAAAGATGGGATTCTGACCTCCATTCTTGCAAAATGCTGATGATCCAAGCGGTGAGTTTGAGACCAAGGATATTATTTATCTTTTAACAAACCTCACAGTAATCGTGAATGTACAGCAAGGTGTTATAATGTATTTTGATATCTTATTTTTTAGAGACAGGGTCTTGTTCTGTTGCCCAGGCTGGAGTGCAGTAGTGCAATAATGTCTCACCGTAGCCTCCAGTTTCTGGGTTCAAGCGATCCTCCTGCTTCAGCCTCCTGAGTAGCTAAGACCAGAGGTGCACACCACCATATCCAGCTCATTTTTAATTTTTTTTTTTTTTTTGTAGAGACAGGGTCTTTTCCAGGATGGTCTTGAACTCCTGGCCTCAAGGAATCCTCCTGCCTAAGCCTCCCAAAGCGCTGGGATTATACGTGTGAGCCACTGCACCCGGCCCTGTTTTAATTTTTTAAATTTAACTTTTAAAATTCAAATATAGGTAGCGTTTTGGTAATCTCTTATTTTAATCTGAATGATGGAATATGTCAAGGGGTGACTGACAGTAGGGAGGCATAATACTGTCAGGAGCTTCCTACAGTGCTTTCTTCAATTACTTTAGAATCTTTGGTCTCCCCAGAGGTAAAGTGACTCGCCCAAGGTCACACAGTGAATTAACAAAAATAAGAAACGAATGCTAATATTAGAAAGTACATACCTCCTATAATTACTTGCTTGGGCAATAAACTAGAAGTTAGTAAATATTAAGAACTTCAGGGTCCGGGCCTGTAATCCCAGCATGTTGGGAGGCTGAGGTGGGGGCGGCGGGGGGGGGGGGGTGGTGAATCACCTGAAGTCAGGAGTTTGAGACCAGCCTGGGCAACACGGCAAAACTCCATCTCTACTGATAATACAAAAAAAAAATAGCTGGGCGTGGTGGCGGGCACCTGTAATCCCAGCTACTAGGGAGGCTGAGGCAGAAGAATCACTTAAACGTGGGAGGCGGAGGTTGCAGTGAGCTGAGATGCTGCCACTGCACTCCAGCCTGGGCAACAGAGGAAGGCTCCATCTCAAAAACAAAAACAAAAAAAACNTCAGGGTCATTACCCTATTTCTTCAATTTTTAATTTATTTTTTATTTTTGAGACAGAGTCTCACTCTGTCATCCAGGCTGGAGTGCAATGGCACAATCTCAGCTCACTGCAATCTCTCCCTCCCAGGTTCAAGTGATTCTCCTGCCTCAGCCTCTCAAGTAGCTGGGACTACAGGTACCTGCCACCATGCCCAGCTAATTTTTTATTTTTTGTAGAGACAGGGTTTCACCATGTTGGCCAGGCTGGTCTCGAACTCCTGACCTCAAGCAATCTGCCTGCCTTGGCCTCCCAAAGTGCTGGGATTACAGGCATAAGCCATCATGCCCAGCCTATATTTCTTTAATTTTAAGATGCCTATTTTATGTTTTTAACATAAATAAATGAAGATGCATCTTGTAATTGATATGTTTAATATGGAAGCACTCATTTTTTCCAAAATATGAAATCAGTGGTGTACTTACAACTAACAGCATTATAAAATCCAGGATATATGGGAGGGGTATTGCATATTTATTGTTTCTTTGAAACAAGGTTTTCTATGAATTAATTTTGTCCCTGTATGGGTACTGTCATCGTGTCGGGTAAGGAAATCAAGACTCACCTGTGCTAGAAACCTGGAAATAAACTGTTGGCATATACTTGCCTCCTATGGTCAGCATCTAACCACTCATTGAGTACTGGTGACTCAATTTCTACCTCTTCAGGCTTTTTTCCCTTCCCAGTTTTAAAACTTCAACCGTCCCTCCAGTGTAGCACTAATCAAATCTACCACAGAGCTGTCACATTTATCCTCATTAAACACATACTTGATTCCATGACTTCCTTTTTATAAAACTCTACTGGCTCCCCAGTGCTTTCAGAATCAAGCCCAAATACCATCAAATGGCATTTAGGGTCCTGTGAAATCTGTCCTTACCCTGCCTTTCTGGTATCACAGTCATCAGCTGCTTCTTCCCTGCTTAAAAAATCAGCCTAATCAACATTCCTGAAGCTTACGGCACTGTTACCACATTTCTAATAGTTTAAACTTTCAAGGCCCAGCTTGAACATCACACCTTCCACCAACCTTTTCCAGTCCTCTCATTAAAATCAATTTCTCCCATCTCAGCATTCCCACAATATACAGCACAATGAGCATGTAGTCTTGCCTGATGTATGCCTGTCTGTCCACCCAACTGGACAGTAAACTCTCTGGCAGCAGAAACTGGGCCTTAATCATTTCAGTTTCCTCCACAGAGATCAGCACAGTGCCTGCACGTAGTAGTTATTTGCTAAGCATGAAATCTTTAACAAAGCCAGAATTGATTCTGAGGCAGGGTTAAAGATATTATAAATAAAACTTCACTGAACTGAAATTCATAGTCCCATGCAGGGCACCTGCATATTTTTATTAGGTTTCACCATGGAAGGCATAATTTTAGGTATTATTATGCTGATGAAGCACAATCTTCCTGCTCCAACTTGGCCAAACCCAGGGAAGCAATTTCCTATTTGATTAAGAGTACGACAGCAGCGAGGACTGGAGTATAAAAATTTACTGTAGGGTTGAGAATGTAAGCTTAATTGTGGATCAAATGGGAAACATTCTAAACAGCATTTTTTAAAGGAAGTATTTGAACAGCCTATTTTAAAATATTCAATATCATCTTCAGCAATAGGCAAGTTTTGGAAACTAGCAAGTTTCAAGACAGGTACTCACTCATTCTCTCTTCTGCAGGATCCTAAAGATGGTCCTGGGGACTATCAGTTACTTAAATGTCTCAGGTTATTAATTCTTACTTTAATTATATCTCAGCTAAGTGATTTTTTTTTTCCACCATTTGCTCACATAGCAGCGAACAACTTTACACTGTTATCAGTCTTCACATAGCAGTTCCCAAATTTTGCCTTTAGGTTTATATCATGTGCAATGAGTTTTAAAAGGCTTTCTCCACAAAATCATAAGAGAGCCTTAAGAGTTTCATTCTCTGCCTGACCTCCTGAAACCCTCAAAAGATAATTAAAGAATCATGAAATCTTCTTGTGATTTCATTTAAAAAACTTTTTTTAAATCATTGATCATGTCTTCATTCTACTAAACCATTTAAGAAGTGGGCAATTTAAACTACCCCTATAATGGTTCACTAGCCTCAGCAATCAAGGCTGTAAGAAGACAGAAGCCTATGTCCAACATTATTATTAGTAGTAATTATCTGTTACATATTAATGCTACTAAAGTAAAATGTGATCTATATATAATCGATAATATGACTATAATAATGTATATAACAATCCAATATAGTTTCCCCCTTTATCTGCTGTTTCACTTTTCATGGTTTCAGTTACCTGCAGTCAACTGCAGTTTGAAAATACATGTGTACAGGCCGGGCACAGTGGCTCATCCCTGTAATCCCAACACTTTGGGAGGCAGAGGTGGGTGGATCATTTGAGGTCAGGAATTTGAGACCAGCTTGGCCAACATGGTGAGATCCCATCTCTACCAAACATAAAAATTAGCCAGGCGTGGTGGTGCGTGCCAGTAATCCCAGCTGCTTAGGAGGCTGAGGCAGGAAAATCCCTTGAACCAAGGAGGCGGAGGTGGCAGTGAGCTGAGATCATGCCATTGCACTCCAGCCTGTGAGACAAAGCAAGACTCTGTCTCAAAAAACAAACAAACAAACAAAACAAACACACACACACACACACACACACACACACACACACATTAGCCCTGTGCCTAATGTCACAGTGCCATCCCTTGGTCCCACTCCAACAACTATGTATGAAATAAACCTGTGATCCTATCAGTCATATCCCTTCTCCAAGCCTCCCTTTCTGAAACTCTATGCCTCTAATTCTATGAGACATTTCACAATGTTGTATCTACAGTCAACTAAGAAATAATATATTTGGGTTTATTTCACTCTTTGCTCAAACCAAGGATAATTTATCAGGCCTGCTAAGTATAATCTGCTTTCCTAAGTATTGTGAGAAATATGAAACAGACTACACTTGCAAATCTTAAATTGTGATAGAAGAAATGAGAGAATGCACAAAAGTTTTCTTTTCTTCAGAAGAGAAATTGCAACTAAAAAAAAACGCCTAGAGATAATAAAAGAGACGTTAGAAAGCAACACACAACTGTCAACTCAAATGTACTGCTAATTACTCTAGAAAGAAGTGTTCAGCATTCTAATAAAAACATTATATTAGTATAATGTTTGTCATTAACAAAGAGTTGCTTACAACCACATCAACAGATAAGATCCTATGATACGTGTTGTCTGGGGCAAAGCAGGGAATTGTGGGAAATGTAAAACAAATTTGTGTTGAATCCCGGCCCTCAGGGAACATTTGAGTTCATGAAATAAAACTAGGAATCAGAAAGACTGGGCAAGATTTGTTTTGCTAGGAATTCAGGATACATGAATCCATGAGGAAACATGAACGTCTTGGAACTCGAACAGGAGGTGGTGGTAAAAATCTAGGAGTTAGGTAAACAGTGTCTAGCCACAAGAACAGAGGAGGGGTTTAAACCTCTAAGAGATCATTTTATGGGAAAAAGCAGCCCCTCCTGAAAACATTCAATTCAGGACACGAAGGACAGATAGACACTCAGAGCCTCAGAGAAAAAAGTATCTGGTGAAATCTCTTCTAGAAACTTTGGCTGGGGAGAGTTTGGAATGTTGACTTAAAGACCCACAGTGAAGTCTAGAAAAAGATAGAGGCAGCTTGTTACAATTTACACCAACAGGAAACCATTTAGAAGGGAAGAATAAATGTTAGTTAAACTTTAAAGATTAAATTACAAATTTACTCAAGTGATTTTAACTTTTACTGCACAAGTAGCAATTTTAAGTCATAAGGGATCTGAAATGTTTCCAGAGTTTTAAAATGGACTGTTTTACACAAGTGAAAAAAAGATTTTGGCTTCTAGTGCTGAGCACAGAGCAATCCTATGCCTTGTAATGGGCTGGTATAATTGTGCAGTTTCATTAAAATAATTTTATTACTGACTTCCTAGTTTTCTGTTAATTATCATTTCAGAGTAAGAAAAACTATTACTTTTAAAGCCTATATTAAAGTAGGCTTAAGCAAGCACGGAAAAGAAAGCCAGTGAGAGAAAATATAAAAAGAAGCTATTAATATTAACAGTTACAGTTGGACACTTGTTCATTTCATAAATCTTTGCAGTATTAGCAAGATTGATGAGAAGTAGTACAAATGAGAAGCACATGAGATAAGCGATCATTTGTTATCATTACTGAAATATAAAGTATGATTCAGTGTTTCATAATGGATGTTAAACTTGATTTAACATATGGTTGGCTCATTTGCTGAAAACTATCCTTAAAGACATAAACTCATTCTAAAGTCAAAGACATTGTCTTAATAACAGTCTCTGAATTATCTTTCTATAAGAGACTGAGTAACCTCAATAAATACAAACTTAGGGAGAAGTTGTGAAAAGGCTGTTCCTTAAGGAGAAAAAAAGCAAATGTGTTATATACTCTGATTCATTAAACATATTATAGAGAATTCTAAAATATCGTTGAAAGAGTAAAGAATTAATGTGTTTTAATACCAACACAGAGTCTTTTGAATTGATTTTCAAATGATGAGTAGAGAAACCCAATCACTGCTGTCAGTGCTTCAGCAGCTACCTAAGAAATCCTCCTTTGTCAACTTCATTTCTCTAATCATGAGAGAACGCCAGTGCCCACTTTAAGTTTAGTGGATTAAGCAGACCACTGCAAGTGCTGCTAAAATAATTTATAATCTATCATTATACTTCAGTAGTGATAGTATACTACTGAATGAGAATACACTGGATTCTCATTCAACCTGGAATGAGACACTTAAAAATATTTGTTACATGAGTATATTCCTATCCACGACTTAGTTTTGTCTGAATTCTCACTTCCATTAACAGAAATGCACTAAAAATATATATATATATATATATATATATATATATATATATATATAGAGAGAGAGAGAGAGAGAGAGAGAGAGAGAGAGAGAGAGAGAGAGACAGAGAGAGAGAGAGATACAAAGTCTCACTCTGTTGCCCAGACTGGAGTGCAGTGGCATGATCATGGCTCATTGTAGCTTTGAACTCCTGGGTTCAAGTGATCCTCCTGCCTCACCCTCCTAAAGCACTGGGATTACAGGCATGAACCACTGCACCTGGCCTACATTTTTTTTAAAACAACAATTTATGTACCTCCTAGAGACACCAGACCAGTTTGAAGACTAGCCGTCTTCAACAGTCCCTGTAGCAATTATGCTCAGAAAGGCTTATTTCTTGAGCTAGCAAGTATCTGCCCTAAAACCAGGTTCATTAATAAAATGTCTATCTTTCAAAAAAAAATACTTGAATCTTCTGTTTTCCCTGATGTTTGTGTCTTTCTTCATCCTTGGATACCTATTCTTATAACACAGCCCATGCTCATCTGAAATAAGTGACTTCAAGTCAGCTCCATTATCCTGCATCCTGCCTGCAAAAATGATCTAGATATGGGGAGTAGTGCTTCCCCTTGTTCTATACACTATATCAATATAAGTTGTTAGACTGCATCTTCTTTAATCAAAGTGTCATCTAATTCACATTTAGCCATCAGAAGCATGTCTACCAAAGAGCAATGCAGCCAAATAAGCTTTATGCACCCATCCTTAGGTTATACTCCTTAGCTAATGTTACTCTTATTTGGCATTGATTTGATTTATTGACAACAAAAATACCCATGTTTGACACCAACTAGCCTTGATGTGCCACTATTACTGACTCTCTCGACTTTGCTCCCCCAATTTGTAAAATGAGAAGTCCAAGCTTTCAGTGATTCATGAAAGCAGAGTCCACTGTCAGCCTGGCCACACAACTAGCCCCTGAGGATCTTGCTAGGGGTCAAAACCCACATATTAGATCTGATGGGGCCCTCCAAATTCTCTATTTTAGTAAGTTCCCAAATGCTTCTCACGCATGTCTCTTACAGAATAGATATAGCTGAAACAATCTACAATATTATATACTGAACTCATTCAACCATTAGCTCAAAGGAAATGCATGCTAAACCAGCTGCACAATCCACTCTGTGGAGAAATCCAGCAGCCACTCCAAGAAGCTGACCTCCAAAGGTCATGGAGCAAGATGGAGATGAAGAGCCAGCCAGGGTCTAGAGTTCCCACTTTGCTCTCTTACCAGCTGTACAACTTTGGACAAGTCTGTTAACCTCTCAGAGATTAGGATATCTTTTCTGTAAAATGGTGGTAATAAAGCCTACCTTAGAGGGAAATTGTGCAAATTAATTTTTAAAATACACATGTAGGCCAGGCGTAGTGGCTTACGCCTGTAATTCCAGCACTTTGGGAGGCTGAGGCGGTCGGATCGCCTGAGGTCAGGAGTTTGAGACCAGCCTGGCCAACATGGTGAAACCCCATCTCTACTAAAAATACAGAAATAAGCCAGGTGTGGTGGTGCATGCCTGTAATCCCAGCTACTCAGCAGGCTGAGGCAGGAGCATCACTTGAACCCGGGAGGCGGAGGTTGCAGTGAGCCAAGATCATGCCATTGCGACAGAACAAGACACTGTCTCAAAAAAAAAAAAAAGTGTATATATACATATGTGTGTATGTGTTTGTGTATATATATGTGTGTGCGTGTGTACATATATATATGTACACACACACGTATGTATATGTAATGTACTTACAAAATGGGAGGAGTAGAGACACTCGGGAGGACTGCATTTGGCTTTATTCATTGTTCCTTCTGGTATAGCAGCTAACACACAGTGAGTACACTAAAAAAACAATGCTTTGAAGAAACAATCTAATCCAACTACCCATGACACGTGTTATTCATTCAGAACAGTTTATTGAGAGGCCTCTTTGTGTGAAACACTGTGACAGTCCATTTGCTCCTTCAAATCTCTTCCTCCCCTTCTTTCTCTGTTCTGTGCTGCAGAAGGCTGATCTATGTGGACTACACTGACAGGCCCCTTGGTGTTCTGGCTTCTCCTGCAAGTTGGCCAGTGAGGGCTTCATAAGGATACCAAATGAGAGGAAAAACAAGAACTTGGTCTGATCTAGCAGAAAGATCAGACCAAGGCCCCAATCACAGAGATCTCCTGTTTCTCCCAAAGTACTCTGTTTTCCCAAACATCTCTCCTACTGTGTTGCAGTACCACTCCCTCACCTTATCCCTTTGGGCTTGAGTCTTTAAAACTCCACTGCTTACCATCCCCAGGTTCCTGTACTAACCTTGTGGTTCCTCTAAACCCCACCAGTGCCTCTCTATATCGTCCCTTTATAAAGAAGTTCTCTGGAGCGCAGCCTCAGTTGAGTGTACCCTCTCTTCCAGTTGGAAGTCTGATATAAACAATGTGTTTGAAGTTAGGGAATACAGTAACAAACAAACAAGTCATGATCTCTCATGGAATTCTAACTACTACCACTGTCATAACAAACAGCTACCGTTTATTGGACACATATCCCATACAAGCTCTATAGAAGTTGTATACCTGAGGTTGCTATCATCATCTCTGTTTTTCAAATCAAAAAACCAAACCTTGGAAATATAAAACCCACATGAGTATCAACCAACAGAATTTGATTCACAACAGAACTCAGATTCAAGCCAGAGTCAACCCAATCCACAGCACACGCTCATAAATGCTGAAGTATTACCACATTTACCTCAACAATGTCCCTGCCAAATGGATCTTCAATGTGAGTCATAAGAAATTTTCCCCAATCCTTCTCCCCATGCCAGATCTGGGGATTTTCAGAAAGCCTAGTGTGAAAATTCAGGAGACCTGAAATGTGCCCTCTTATCATATCTACTCACCAACTGGCTTGTGAGTTTCCTCCTCTTTGAGCTAATACCTGCAGGGAGGTGCGCGCTTCCGTAACTAGTGGCCTTTGTTCTAACCACCATCTCTGCCATTTTTCCTGTGAAATTTCAAGATAAATGCAGGCAAGCAAGGGAGAGAGCCCTTGGACACTCTTCTCTAGTATTCTAGGACTTTTCAGGCCTGCCTGGTGAGATCAGGTACCTTATCACTAGCTTCTACTTGTGCAATCTCCCAATTACACAAGCGATCCCATCTAGATTTACAAGTGGCCATCCTCTCTGACCCACAGGCCAGAGAACTCAGCCCACGCAATGTTTTTAAAATAGACCCCAACCCAGGGGAGGCTGACAGGCACACAGCTGCACCAACTTTATTAATGAGTACCCAGACCTTTAGATAATTGATTTCCACTTTGATCCCAGCCTACGCATTTCTATCTCTGATATCTAAATAGCAAATCATGTTATCTTACAATTAAGTGATAATCTTCATGGCAGAAAAGTTGACAGGTCTATAAATGGCTTCTGCAAGTGATTAAAATAACTTCCTCCCCCTTTCCACCCAGCCCTGGAAATGTTCTACAACTTCACAAGGCTATTACTTGTTAATAAACTCCCCATGATATGAACCTCATTCATATTCAACAAGTTTACATACTAAGTTACTCTCCAGAAATGATATACATCTTATTTTTTATGCTTAAATAAGAACATTTTATTTATTTTTTATATCTATTTTTTTGGAGAAAGGGTCTCACTCTGTCACCCTGGCTGGAGTGCAGTAGCATGATCTAGGCCCACTGTAGCCTCCACCTTCCAGGCTCAAGGATCCTCCCACCTCAGCCTCCTGAGTAGCTAGCACTATTGGCGTGCTCCTCCATGTCAGCTAATATATATATTTGTATATATCCATGGCAGCCAATATGTATACATTTGTAGAGATGAGGCCTTACTATGTTGCCCAGTCTGGTCTCAAACTCCTGGGCTCAAGTGATCCTCCAGCTTTGGCCTCTCCAAGTGCTGGGATTACAGTCATGAGCCATCTCATGCAGCCTGCAAGTACATTTTATTAGCCTTAGTAAGTTACACAAAGTCAGCAAAACCTTTGACTTTAATATTCAAGTAATATTAAGATTGTTAAATTTTGCATGTATATGCATGGATATGAAGTATATACAAGTGCAGAGTAACTTGAAGATCAGTGTTGAAACAACATTGAGTATTTAATATGAAATGAGAATAAATGACTAAAAGAAGATAAGTTTTACTTCAATAAGTGAATTGAATATTGAACCCTGATATGGTTTGGCTGTGTTCCCACTGAAATCTCATCTTGAATTGTAGTTCCCATAATCCCCACATGTGGTGGGAAAGACTTAGTGGGAGGTAACTGAATCATGGTGGCTGTTCCCTCATGCTATTCTTGTGATAGTAAGTTCTCACAAGACCTCATGTTTTAAGGGACTTGACCTTTCACTTGGCTCTCATTCTTCTCCTTCCTGCCATCACGTGAAGAAGGACATGTTTGCTTTCCCTTCTACCATGACTATAAGTTTCCTGAGGCCTCTCCAGCCATGCTGAACTGTGAGTCAATTAAAACTCTTTCCTTTATAAATTGTCCAGTCTCGGATATGTCTATTAGCAGCATGAAAATGGACTAATACAAACCCTTACTATGCACTGAATTCTGGGGCAAGTACCCAAGATATTACAGCAAACAATACCCACCAATCTGCTTCTATGGCAGAACTGGGCCACATGCCCAGAAGGCAAGTAAGAATTACTCTGCAACCAACTGATCACCATAGTAACTGAGCATCAGGTAGAAAGAGTGCTGGGATTGATTAGCAGAGTCTGTGATTTGGATTGGACATAGAAATGATATAGTCCATTCCATGTATGCTCAATGAACACTGCACAGGTGAACAGATAAGGCTGTGACCTCCTCTGAGGCAAGCTCCCTGGTTATTCCATCTCCATATACCTCAAGACTCCTAACACAGTTCTTTGCACATAATAGACATTCATTTTGCAGGACAGATACCAAGATGAATTGCTTCAGTTTGTTTTTAACAACGTAATTCTATTTCCAATTTAGATAATTCATTGATTTCACACCTTTCCTTCCTGGTTACTCTATACTTAATTTTCCCTTTTCTTCTTTCCTTTTTTGTTTGTTTTTTTTTTTTTTTTTGAAACAGAGTCTTGCTCCATTGCCCAGACTGGAGTGCAGTGGCGCAATCTTGGCTCACTGCAACCTCCGCCTCCCGGGTTCAAACAATTCTTCTGCCTCAGCCTCCCAAGTAGCTGGGACTACAGGTGAGTGCCACCACATCCAGCTAATTTTTGTCTTTTTAGTAGAGGTGGGGTTTCACCATGTTGGCAGGGATGGTCTTTATCTCCTGAACTCATGATCCGACCTCTCAAAGTGCTGGGATTACAGGCATGAGCCACTGTGCCTGGCCTCTTCTTTCTCTTTCTAAAAGCACATCAATTTACATTTCTACATCTGCTTCCTACAAAGAATTTCCTCTGAATGAATTCAACAAGTGTCCTGTACATGTAAATATATGTATGAATCTTTTGTACCTATCCATGTCAAAGGGTTTTTGAAGCCAAACTGAAAACTTTCCTAGACTACATGTTGATGTTCTGAATATCCACATTTCGAGGCTCTTAACAAAGCTGTATCAAACTCCTTTTCTTCTGAGTAATATATTATGTACGTAAAGTCCTAGGAGATGCCCTAAGTCTACTATAAGTGAATTTACTTTTTGTTTTCTGCTTTGCTTCATTCATCCTGCTTTGCTTTTTTTCTCATCCCAAATATAAACATCTGTTTTGTTATCAAGTTAAAGTTAAGGAGATATAAAACCCTCTCAGATTAATGTACAGCCCATTATTGAATTCTGGATCTTAGTGATATCCAATATATTATCATGAATTTTATAGAATATACTGAACTTTTAATTCTTATCTGATTTATCTTCTTAATGATGCTTAGATTTCCATTCAAAAATCCTGTCTCTTCTCACCCTTTCCACACTGTGTCTGTTTTTGTGCCCTTTTCTAGAGTTTTACATTTCTCTTTAGGATTATCTCTCTCTTTCTCTCGCTCACCTACATACACACACCACACACTCGATGTCCAAATTCACAGTCTAAGCATTTTGGTGATATGCCATTCCTCTTCTACCTTTGTTAGAAGTTCCTCTTTCCCATGGAATCAATTCTACCGGAAAAAAGTGAAAAGGAACCTTAGAGAGCAATCATTAAAGGTGCAAAGGGAAAGGTCCCCATGTCTGGGAGTGTCTCTAACCAGCTGTGTGATACGTGCCATGTAATATCTGGCTTTGGTTTTCTCATCTCTAAAACTGGAGGGTAAAACAAGACTATGTCTTGAAACCTTTCTAATTCTGAAATGTTCACTATTATCAGTTAACATTTATTGTGCTTTTCTGCATGGCAGGCCTCAGGCTAACGGCTGGCTATAACTAGCACTATCCATGCTCACAACAACTCCATAAGGAAGGTGCCACGGTTATCCTCATTATGTCACTGAGAAAACTGAGGTTCTGAGAGGTAAAGTCATTTCACACCTGATGGGATATGGATGTAAGACTGGAACTCAGACGGCATGACTCTCAGGTTACAGATTCTGCATCACATGCTCATATCAACTGATCTGTATTTTTATACAACTTCAAAAATGAAAACACTGGGCATGTGACCTATAAATAATGAAATCATATACAAAAATAAAGAAACACCCCACATTGTTGAAAAATTATTTCCTTTCCAAAAATTACTTGAAAGGGCATCAGTAAGCCCTGGCATATTTGTTCAAAATACAGTCTTACTGAATAGGGGTGTGTGTGTGTGTGTGTGTTTGTGTGTGTGTGTGTGTGGTGTGTATATACACACATATATATGTGTGTATGTGTGTATAGGTGTGTACATACATACACATACATGTGTATACATGTATATAGACACGTATACATGTATATACACACATACACATATATACACATATATGTATACATACATATATGTTTATATATATACATATGTGACAATAAACCAGTAGAAAGGTATATATATACACATATATACACATATATACATATGTGTATATATACACATATATACATATGTGTATATATACACATATATACATACATACACATGTATGTATGTATACACATATATACACATATATACACACAAACCCACAGTCATCCCTTGGATTGGTTTCAAGACCCCTGCATATACAAAAATTAGCAGTTGCTCAATTCCCTGATATGAATGGTATAGTATTTGCATATAACCTTCCCACCTCCTCCCATTAACTTTAAATCATCTCTAGATTACTTATAATACCTAACACAATGTAATGCTATATAGTTATTCTAACATATTGTTTTTATTTGCATTATTTTTATTGTTGTATTACTTTTTATGGTTTTTTTCCCAAATATTCTTGATCCACAGTGGATGAAATTCACACACGCAGAGCCCATGGATACAGAGGTCCAACTCCATTTTTAACCAATACTCATATTCGCACAGATTCATATAATCTCACACTTTCAAGTAACGTAAGCACTATATGATCCCATTATATTATCAGCTTGTCAAGAAAACTGCCTATGCTCTGTGTCCTTTATAAAACAATGTTCCTACCTAATAAGGGCAGCTACAGCCTTTCCCCCCAGTTCTCCCTGCTATAAGGTGGCACCCACAGATATGTCTCCTTCTCTTTTGCCTAAGAAGGCCCTTTTGATTTCTCTTTCAATCCTGTCCCCAAGCCTGAACTCATCAGTATCCCCTACTGCTGCCAGTCTAGGAGAGACTCCAATCATCTTCCCCTACTGCTGAGACAGCAGCCTTCTACCTGGTAGCCTCTGCCCTCCTCAGTCCATTCTCCACACTGCTTGCTTTCCTATCTCTTCTCAAAGCCAATCACATAGGTCCCTTCCTCACTTAAAACCCCTTTATGACTCCTCATTGCATCAGAAATAAAATCTGAACTCCCTTCCACTGTTTCAGAGGCCCACTCTCAAGCTCTCCACATCTATAAAGTGCCAACTAGTCTTTGCCAGTTGTCAAACAGACTGAGCTTAGCTTTCTCTCAACCCAGAACCTTTACATACCCTGGCTCCTTGATTTGGAGTGCTCTCTCTCCATCTGCCTTCTACAGTCGGACCTTCACATCTTTCAGGCTGAGACAGAACCCTCCTCCAGAGAGCTTTCCATGTCCCCCTTATTTAGTCTGACCCAAGCCCATTATTCTCTCTTCACTCTTCATTTGTTTCCTTCATAATAATTCTGATTGATCATTGTGTTATCCATCTCCACGTGTGTGTGTGAACTATATTCTCTCACTATCACACAAGCCTCCGGAGGATGGAAAGCAGCTGGCCTTGCTGATAGATACATCCCATGCATTTAACTCAGAGCTTGGCTCAGGTTAGATGGTCACTAGTTATGTATTTGTTAAACGAATGAACATATGACCTCAGATCTTTTTGCCTTAAGAGAAAGAAAAGTAAACCATTTGAAAAGGGGGGAAAAATTATAAGGCTAGCAAAAGTTAATGGTATTGGCAAACATTACTACAGGCCCTTGATAGATGTTAAAAGAATGGAGAAAGCCCTTTAACATATTTAATATATCATCCCTAGTTGGAAGATACTTTTAGAATTGTGCCTATGCCCAAAAGTTAATAAATGGGTGAGGATATTCTGTGTGACTAAGAGGGGCTAATGAATTGATAAGTATTTCTGTGAGATTTACTGGATGGTTGAAAAATCTCTGTACATTTTCCCCTGATTGTCTCTACCTTTCTGCTGGCTTATTGTCATGCTGATTTTTATGGATCTACATTCAACAGCTAAGGTAAATAAGGTAAAATGCCAGAGAATAATCCACCATAATATAGTAGAAAACTTTTTTAAAATCAAAATTCCTGTTGCTAAACCCACCATCTAACACCTTTTATCACATTTGAGTGATCTTTAAAAGAACATCACACTTAAATTCGCTTTTGAGTTAGATTACTGAAGACAAATGACATACTGAAATAGCATCTAAAAGCGTTAATATACAAACATCTACCCAATACAGATTTAAATATAGCAGTGACTGTACACCTACCGAAACATGAAAGACTACCAGGAGACAGGGATTTAATGTGGATTGATACTAAAAAGCTAATGGAAATCCGGTGGTCTTTATGATTGAGATGGAACATCTTTCACGGCTCTTAAAACCTTAGGCTGGACAGTGAAGACATGGGCTGGTGCTGATGAAGGAGGGCTATACCCCAAGCCTGGGAATCTGGAAATCTGATGTGTTCGGCCAGAGAAACTCCAAAGTTCTCCGTGTTTCTGCCTTTCTCTACCCCCACAAACTTCAATTCTTCCCTTGCTAATAAAATACTGGAAACTGAGTAATAAAAGGCAAATTTCATTTCAATCCTTTGGGCTCAAAGCCAGCTCCCTGCCAAAACTTCTCCTGCCTGGAGGGGTAGAGCAGGGAATGAGTTGGGGCAAGCACAGATGTCCTGCTTCTACTCTAGAGGGAGAGATCTGCAAAGGGTATGGCTCAGCATCTTGTCTACCAGCTAATGTGATTCATAAATAAATCACACAGGGAGAAGTGTGGGAGGCCCCTGTGGTTCAATTCTTTATCTCTTTTTCTCTTCCCCAGTGTGGAAGATTGTCCTGAGAGTGTGGGGACCAGGGGGCAGAGTCACCTACATGGTCTGCTGTACAGCAGCTCTGGCAGCTTAGCACAACCCATTCACATACTGGGCAGAGCCCTTCCAATGTTAACCTCTGCCAGAGCTCCTCCTGACTTTTTTTTTTTTAATCCTAAAAGAGGAAGCATTTCAAATGACCTAAATCTAAAAATAGAGTACTTCATGCTCATGACTATTTTAAATAGCATCTAAAATAAAGAATTAAAAAAAAAAACATGTTTCCATTTTTGTGACAGTTTCCCCTTCCCTTGAAAAAAAGAAAATACTGTAGAGCTTGTCATTCAATCTAAAATCAGACTTCGTGCCAGCTGGAATCCTAGGTTTATTTATTACTGTGCACAGTTCTTACATTAACTGTTTGTTAAAGACTGATTTTACCACCACTGAGACACAATGTAAGTGAAGGTCTTTCCATGTTTTACCAAAAAGAGTGATTCAAGCATGACCCGTCCAGGAGAAATGATATTAAAGAAAAGGGACAGAAGTACTACTCAGTCACTGATCCAACTATATTTCTGGAGAAATCAAGTTTAAACATAAGTAATTGCCTAATGGAGTTGGGCCAAGGTGGAGATAGGAAAATATCCATGACACTTCCAGTATTTGCAAAACAGGTTCAAAAATAAAATTGCAACATTTTATGGTCTGTAACATACTTAGTCACTTAGTCGCAGAGACATCTGGAAAAAGATAATCCAATGGGGCAGGTTTTTATTCTCTACTTTAGAAAATTGTTCACATTTATTCCCTATCATAGTTTCAAGTAGAATGGTTATAATTCATCCAATAAGCTTTTTTAAAAAGCAGGGAATCACAGTTTCTGGGCGTGGGGCCCACAGGCCTTTACAAAACTTCATAGGTTTATACCTACATAGGTCATAGATTGTGAATGACACACAACATGATGACTATGTTCATGAACACACATGCTCATATACATATATACATGCAGTCAAGCTCAACCTAGATTCACAAATCTTACAAGGTTTTACTTCCACAATAATGGGCTCCTGTTCAGTCTCTCTTGCCAGCCAATCCTCCAAGAGAGACACCGACAAATGTAGACACGTAAACATGCTCCTCCAAACATGGAATAGCTATCACTTATTTCAAGTCATCAAACGTATGAGTCAGCTGTATCTTGATACAATTAGTTGAGGTTCTCTTTCAATGTACTCCTTAGACACTCTGTGGTGTCAAGCTGTGGTACTATGGCTCTTTCACTAGCTCATTACCACCTCCAGCAGAGTCTGCCTTGGTATAGCCTCAGAGGCACAGAGCAAGCACTCAATAAATATGGAGTAGAGGAAAGAGAAAGGTGGACAGGAAAAAAGGGGGGAGGGAGGAAAGGAGATGAAAAAGGATAGAAGAGAAAGGGAAGCCAGTGAGGGAGTGAATATCTAGCTGAGAATGGAGGAGGAATCTCAAATAAAAAGGGCAAAGTCAGAGGACACTCAGAAAAACAGAAGTGGATGGACAACAGTGCCACAGGAACTCAAAGGTGCAATGTTTTCAAAAGATAGATAGATTCCAAAGATGGCACCCACTGATGAAGCTTTTCTATTACCAGGGTCACATACAAACAAATCAATTCGGCACCCAGGGCTGAGGTGGTACAGCGTCACGTCCTTAAAATGCCTTCAGGGACCAGGCAAATAGCATAAATATAAGATTATAGGCGAGAAAATGCTTAAGTTTCAAGCACAGCATCTGTTTCAAGCAGAAAAACTGTGCAGATCAAACAGCTCAGCCCAGACTCTATCCCTACACCCTGGAGCTAACAAATCAATTTGATTCAAATATTTGTGGAATACCTACAATGGGGTTTTAATCACAAAACTTTACTTGAACAGCTGCAACCTCTAGCCTCTCCAGGCTTCTTTCCTCATCATGGGGAGAAAAACACAAACATTTCAACATTTGTTGAGAGGAGAAGAGGTTCTACATGAAGTAACCCGACTGACTTATTTGTACTGAGAAAGGAAAAGCAACTAACCCTGACCTACCAGAACTTCTCACCTCGGGCAGTGGCAGTGAGCAGAGGTCTCAGCAGCAGGAGCCTGCACAACCCCAAAGGACATAGCAGAGACTCCAATACCATGTCTGAAGCAACTTCTTTGAAATCAAAATGCTGATCTTCTCACATGCTGATTACAGACACTTCCATTATCAAACAGAAGAATTTGGGGCAAAATGGATTCTTAATGGTGTCTGTTTCCTACATTTTCTTATCAGTAGAGTGGCTCAAAATCTAAATCCACCTAAACTGTCCATCATCGCCCCCTCCCCACCAACAATGCTCTCATTTTATCCTGTATGTGTTTTTATAAAACGTCTCACCATCTGTAACAATATATGTATTTGAGTAATTGCTGGTTTACTGTCCATTGCCTCCACTAAACTGTAAACTCCATGAGGTCAAGTACAGAGTCTAGACTTGCTCATGACTAAATCACCTGCATCTGGCACATAGTCAGCATGGGATATATATTTATCTGTTGGCCCAACAAATATGACTCTTGCTGCTATCTGATTTTACACAAGCACACCTCCACTGGCACAACACAAGGAGAGGAGAAGAGGGAGGCATCTGGAGAGCTCAATGTCAAGGTTACTTCCCAGCTGCCATTCCTTGTGTTTCCTGAATGCAAGTGTAACTAGTAACTGTACTAACAGAGCCAAGGGCTATATATTCTTCTTCATCCCATAAACAGAAAAATAAACAGTTCTGTGGAACTGTGCAAACCCAACTTAAATTTCAGATTCCAGACCCATTATCTGGCACCCTTTGCTCAGAAATACTTTACTACCACTAGAAGACAATCTAACCCCTGGTCTCACATACCACATAATGCTGAAATTCTTCCCCATTCTGTCTCAAACCTGCCCACAACTCCGTTTCATGAGGGCTGAGCCACTATCCAATTTCTATCCTTATAGGGGTTCGGTTTTAGACTATGCTCACAAATCCCAAATTCCCAGTGAGTTCAGGAATGATGCTTCCTTACCTTACCTTACATAGGACCTTGAAGATTTCTATTACCCGCAGATGTAACATGCAGTTGTTAAGACCGCACATTGCATCAGCCCACGAAATGAGTTGGGGGCTATCCAGCCTGGCCCCTCTCACGAGGCCATGTACCTTGTGGGGGAGCTGTGTCTCCACAAAAGGAGTATCTTTTTCTATTTTATACAAACATGCCCTATGGATTAGTAACAGTCTGATACTAGAAAAAAGGAAGCTCAAAACTTCACAGGACATGGCAAATAAAACCCAGTGACCTGATAAGAGGTACAATATCTCCTTGGTTTAATATTTCACCTCTTCTAATTAGAATAAAATATTCACTAGGAAAAATTTTTATGATAGTGTCCTTTTGGCATTAGCATGAATACCTCCAAGGAGCCGTATTATTCAAACAATTTTCTATTTCAAAATACACAGGTAGTAAGAACTAACAAATCATTACATTTCCACCAAATGCACGGAAACAACAAACTTAACTAAGAAAATACTGAAGCAGCTTTTCCCAACGGTACCTCGCCTCCCTAGAGCGGAATGGTTTTCTTTTAAGGAATCCCTATTGATGCCAGAACCACCTTGGAAGAATAATTAATGACATTTTGAAAACTGAACTTCCTTCTCACTGCCTTTCATAATGCAAAGTGAAGGGGAGGCGGGGTGAGAGTCCCCCAGGAACACACAATGCATTTTTACAAGAGCTTCTAAAGCCCCTCAGTGAGACAGAAACACACTTTCTCATTTAAGCAAAACTTTAGAAAACTAACAATTAAAATGTGAGTTAAACTGAGGAAACATCTTACATCTGTGATTCTCCCTCCAGAATAATATGACTAGGTAGCTAGCTGCCAGACACTCTTGTTTCAGCAATCATGTGACTATGTGATGAGGGCTGGCTTCATGATTCAGGTGGAACTGATCAGGGCACTGACACTGATGGAGACAAAGCTTGTCAGGCATGATGTCCTTGTAGGCAACAATACCTGAAACTCTGTTAGGAAATCTGAGGTCTTTGGATAGAAGGAAGGAAATAAGCCAAAGGCTAGAGTCACACAGTCAGTATCACTTCAGACAAGTCAGCACTGGATCAACCTCTTCACCTGTAAAATGAGGGTAAGAATATCCACTCAATAAGTATATGATAAAAAGAAAGTGACAACACAAAGTGTAAATGAATATTTAAGCAACATCTACACATAAGAGACCCTAAATGAATATCCGTTGAAATAAAAGCAATGGTTACATGCTTCTCATATCCTGTGGCCCACTGACCTCATTAGTCATTATCTTGACCAGCTCCACTTGCACAGCATTATGAATTACATGTGTGCAGGGCTATTCAATTGTCTAGTTTGATGTTCTTAACCTTGTGAGGCAGTAAATATCCATTTTAAAGATGAGAAGACTGAAGTTTACTTCACAATCTTAGTGGCTCCAATCGAAGATCGTCCACTGTAAAATTCAGTTATCTGCCTCATGATTTCACGGCTTATGGCTCTATGGAAGTTCTATTCTTAACATGACGCAAAGGAAGTCAGAAGTTGCAAAACTCTGAGTTAGATAATTAAGCCATGAAAAGTGATTGATGCTAAGCATCTGTACACAACATGTGAACCAAGGGAATGAGTGACTAGAACCCAAAGAGAGTTTGGAGTTATTTGGCTGTGACTGAGAAATGATGGGCTAGGAATCCAGGTAACAACAACAACAAAAGTAAATACACATTGTCTCTCCTCTTTGAGAAGATGAAAGAAAACATCTTTTTCAGTTCAATGATGCTTCCTGTAGACAGAAATTTTCTCATTGAATGGACAAAACTAGCAAGTGCACAAGTTAATAATAACCTTTTACCCAAGGTTCCATAGCAAGTTCCACATGCTATGCTATCATCTAGGCTCCCTGCCTGCCTCTTCTCATTGCATCCTCATGACAACCTCATAAGTTGTCATGCTATCTCCAAGTTTTGGATAGAGACTGAGTCTCAGTAGAGGTAAGTTTGTTTTTCAGGCAGGGTTGAGCTTTTCGAAGTACAGAGAGAACTGGGGAATGGGGTGCTTCAAAGTCACTGAAAGAGCTGAAGCTGTGGGCTCTAGAAAGACATCCAGGATGACCACGAGGAGTACCACTACTTCTGCCACCATCAGAAAGGCAGAGACTCAGGAAGTCACCAACAGAATCATTATTAGAAGTAGACTGTCTGAATTATGAACATGGATCAGAAAGCTGCTGTCACCAACACAGCCTTTGACTTTATAGGAAAGCCACACTAGCAACAAAATAAACGCTCTATCCACTGCTTCTCAGTGGCCCTTCACTGAGTGGCCAGGTACTGAAAGATGAGTGCCCAAAAGCCCGATGTCTCCTCCAATGTTCTAGCCAGCAAAGATCACAGAGAATACAGAAAGTTGGCTTCAGTCTCAATTCTGTCTTCCAAAACTCAAACAAGTGCATCTAACTGGCAAACAAGGAATCAGATCCAGGGCCTTAGCTGTAAAGCATCTGGAAATGTAATGTTTGACCTTCCCGCCTTTCAGTACAGGAAGGCACGTGATGAGGAGGCTAGCAAGGTTCCTGAGAGCTCAATCACTGTGTCTACTTCATCAGATTTGCCATCCCATAGCTGATTCCTAATTAAAGGGAGTGAGAACCAAAAAGGGGGCAAAGCCAAGTATATGAGTAAATGCACAGAAACATGACAGACTAATTTAACCAGAGAACTAAAAAGGGTTTAGCACCCACTAAGTGAAGAGTGCATTTGGAAACAAGGTGGAGGATATAGCTGGAGAGGCAAGAAAAGGCCAGATGATGAAAAGTCTATCACCCCAGCTTAGAAGCTTTCTCAGCCTAAGCTAGATATCCCTTCTGAACTTCTTAGAAGCCTTGCACAATCCTCAGCTACTCATTGATCACACAGAATTGTAACCATTCATGTTCTTGCCTGCTTTACTGTTCCCCCTGACTATGAGGGTGGGAGGTCAAGGGAAAGGAGGGGCTATTCCACTTTGTATTTCTAGAACATAGCACAGTGCCTGGCCCATAAACGAAAGCTCCAGAAATACGTGTTGTATGGAATTACGTCCCGAGGTTCCTTCCACTATCAATCATCTACTTAAAAAGGAGAAAATGCTCTCTTTACCTTAAGTACCTTTCATTATTAAAAAAAAAAAATGGTTAACTATGGCCACGCAATGGCTCTCACCTGTAATCTTAGCACTTTGGGAGGCCAAGGTGGGTGGATCATGAGGTCAGGAGTTCACGACCAGCCTGGCCAAGATGGTGAAACCCTGTCTCTACTAAAAATACAAAAATTAGCCGGGCATGGTGACACATGCCTATAATCCCAGCTACTCAGGAGGCTGAGGCAGAGAATTGCTTAAACCTGAGAGACAGAGTTTGCAGTGAGCAGAGATCGTACCACTGCACAACAGCCTGGGCAACATAGTGAGATTCCATCTCGAAAAAAAAAAAATTGGTTAATTGTAGATTACAGATTGATAATTGTAAGAATATATTCCTATAGACATATTTTTGTACATTTATGTACAGTAGTAGACAAATGTTGTTTCTGTTAACTGAACCACCATTCTCCCATTCTGATGATAGTGCCTCAATTTTCCTGTAGGAAACCACAGCTACTCCCCTCACATGAAGAAATTCACATGAGGGGTATGACCTCAGCCCTGGGGTTTCAGTTTGGCACATGACATGGCTGGATCAATGAAAGTTCTCCGTGGGATTCTTGATATGAGCAACTTGGCAGTGAGGGGGAAAAAGTTGCTCTCTTATGCTGAGATTGCTACTAGTGGCAAGATAGTAACATTGTATGGCCAATGACCACCACATGAGACAAGGTGTCCAAAGAAGGCAACATGGAGGAATCAGAGCCCATGGAGGGAAAGACACAGACTCTATTTTTTTTTTTTTTTTTTTTGAGACAGAGTTTCGCTATTGTTGTCCAGGCTGTAGTGCAATGGCGTGATCTCAGCTCACCGCAACCTCCACCTCCCAGGTTCAAGCAATTCTCCTGCCTCAGCCTCCCAAATAGCTGGGACTACAGGTATGCACCACCACGCCCAGCTAATTTTGTATTTTTAGTAGATACAGGGTTTCTCCATGTTGATCAGGCTGGTTTCGAACTCCCAACCTCAGATGATCCACCTGCCTCGGCCTTCCAAAGTGCTGGGATTACAGGCGTGAGCCAATGCGCCCAGCCGGGAGAGACACAGACTCTTAACAACACTGAGTACTCGGATCTAGGGTGTCAAAGCTGTCATCGGTCAGTAAATTTCTTTTTCTTTTTCTTAGAAGGTCTAGGATGGTTTCAGTCTGGTAACACCAAAAGAAATTCAAAGTTTTAAGTTTACCATACATAAACTATTAGTTGAAGAAATGGCAATGACTAAATAGCAGAAGAATGAAACTCAGCTTTGGGGGACATCAATCTGTCAGTCATCTACTGTGCAGCCATTTCGAGGGGGGATAACTGGAAGAGATGAGGCTATCACCTGGACATTCTTAAGAGAATTAAAACATAATAAGCCCTCTCCCTGTCTAAATGCACAGATAATTGATTAACAGAAAATGATCATTACTAAAATGGCTTCAGAGTTTTTCAGGGTTGTGGGAATTACAATTGTTCTGAAAGAAAACTGATTACTTACAGTTTCCTCCTAAGATTGTAGTTGTGCAGTAATGATATTGAGACAGCATGATGCCCATTAAAAAAAAAAAAAAAACACTGAAGACTTTACAAATAACTGAGCCAAATGAGATATTGAAAAATCAAAGCGAGAAAGTCCCATCACTAAAAGTATACAAATACATGAGAATCAGCCAGTAAAACAGGAAGTCACTCTCATCTAAAATGGCCTTTGCTTGTCATCAAACTCATATAGAATTCCTAAAATCTGTCAGTGTAGTAGCTTCTAAGTGATATGTCAACAAATATATTCACTGAGAATACTTATTCTGCCTAGAGCCAATGTTTTTAGAAAAACATCCTAAAGAGTCAACTGTTAAATCACTAAAATGAATGTTTTGAGCAGGTGTTTGGAATTGTGCTGATTTATCCATATTTTCCAGTTTAATTTCCACGTTTACCAACAAACTTCAGCAAGAAAACATAAAATGTACCTGGAAGGATTATGTTCATCATAAATACAAGGACAGTTGCGCTAAACATATCTGTACTGGTAACAGTGATTCATAAACCATATTCATTAACCTAAATCCTTAAAGTTTTCTGTTTAAACTGTAGTGATTGGAACGCCAAGTGTCAGAGTTTAAAATGGTATTTTTAAGCTATTAGCAGTTGACATTTTAATTAGGCATATTTATGACAGACATGGGGGGATAAAAAAGAAGGTAAGCAAGGAATAAAAGGTGCATCAAGGACACAAGAAAAGAGAAAAGAATTACCATCCATTCCTGTTATCCTTTTCTTTTAGCATATCAATAGGAAAGCAGTATAACTAACTGGTCAAGAATGTAAGATCTAAAGCCAGCCTTTATCAGCTCAAATCATGACTCTGATATTTACCAGCTGTGAGACCCTGAACAAGTTACATAAACTGCATCTGTTTCCACAGGGATAATGCCAGCACGTAGCTCATAAGGTTGCTGTGGGAACTGAATTGGGTACTGCTCAAAAAATATGTTGCACAGGGCCCAAGAGGAAAGAAGTATTCAATAAATGCTAACTACTACTATATTATTTGTAACCTTACTTACCGGGTCAAGGGCTAATAGTGGTAGTAAATTGTTGCTTAAAATTTTATTTATATATTTCTTCTTGAACCAGAAAAGATGCCAGGCTATTTATTTTTTAATTTTTTGTTGTTGTTATTGTTTTACAAAGGGTTTCTCAGTCTGTTGTCCAGGCTGCAGTGCAGCAGCACGATCATGGCTCACTATAGCCTCAAACTCCTGGGTTCACAGAGTGATCCTCCTGCCTCAGCCACCCAAGTAGCTGGGACTATAGGTGCACACCACTATGCCCGGCTAACATTTTTGCGTTTCTTTTTTTTTTTCTTTTTTTTTTTAAGAGATGGGATTTCACTATGTTGCCCAGGCTGGTCTCAAACTCCTGGCCTCAAATGATCCTCCTAGATCAGCCACTCAAGTCACTAGGATCACAGGCTCAGCCACTGTGCCCAGCATGCAAGACAATTTAAGAGGCATACAAAAGACAAAAATATAACTCAACTTAAGAACAGATTAAGAATTAACAAGATAAGAATATTTAAGAATAGGTTAAGTAAACAAATGTCATAGACAAAACTAGAGTCAGGAACAAGACAAAGGATAAGAATCACTTAGATATGGCTGCTCTAAGCAGCTACTAGTTTGTCTTCAGCTTTCTGGCATCCAACACAAGAAAGAAAACTGGGTCTGCGGCACAATTTTCAATATTCGTGAGATTAAAATATACTAAATGCCCAGAAAGAGAGAGTACAGTGATTTTGTTAGAGGCCGAGAACATAAGGAACTAAGGCCATGCAGCAAATCTTCAGAGGGGCACATCATAGCCACGGTAGATAGCATTGCCAAACTCAATTTCTTAGCCCTCCTTGTATCCACACCTGTATATGGCCTCTGGGGCCACACGTATTTCCCCACCTCTTCAGTCAAAGCTTGGTCCTAGGACTTCCTTAGGCCCTGATATATGGGGAGAAGTGACAGTGCATCTTCACTCAGTTCTCACCCTCTGCCTTAAAAGGTCTTAAGCATTTCTGCTTGCCTTGCTGCATCTCCACTACAGCCATAGAAGTAAGTGACATAGTTGGTGTGGTTGCTAGTCTAAGGGAGATGAAAAACACAAAGCAGTATGGAGCAGAGCCATCCACTGAGCCCAGCCTAGATCTGCTAAACCCCAGATGATTCACTAAGACACAAGCAAAAATAAATGATTATTGTTTTAAACTTCAGAGTTTTGGGATAATTTGTTATGCAGCAATGGAAAACAAATTCAGTAACAAAATGATGACACTTTTTAAAGCAGTATTTCTATTGCCAACTATAAGTCAAACAGTATGCCTTCTAAATGGCTTACCATAACCTATCTTCATAACTTTGATTTCTAAACTTATTAACCTTGTTACTGTAATTTCAGAGACCCTCAACAATTAATATAAATTAAATTTGTCACTCACCCTACTAAATGAAAGTACTCTGGAATACAGTCACCAAAATTAAATAAAGGTTGAGGTCATAGGCCTCCAAATACAGGCCATACAGCATAAGCAAAATTAACTGGGAGGTGGGGTAGGGAGGCAAGCAGTAGGTCATACCTTAAAGAGAGACCAACGGCTTCCAAAGTAACAACACTAGGCATGAAAGTAGCCCATGTGTGGCCCTCAGGAGAGCTGCCATGTGTATGAAGACACACTGGACTGAGAAATCAGTCTCTTCAAATGTGTGCTTTATTCAAAAGATATCAGGGCAGATGTCCCACAGGATTTGTGTTGATTTGAGTTGCTTCTCACATGAGCAAAGCTATCCAGCATCCATACGGCAGAAGTTGTTATGGGGACTTATTCATTTACACATGGATAATGAAACTCATGAGCAAGGCTGGGGAGACCAACTAACAACTCTAATAACAACAGTAATAGCTGAATCCCATTGATATGGATGGTGCTAGTCACTGTGTTAAGCACTAAGCATCAATTATTTCATTCAATTCATTGAACACTCATAATAACCCAAGGAGGTAGTTATTTTTATTCATTTCTCCAACCAACTTTGCCTTTTGCTTTTACAGGCAAGTATTCTGGAGCTTGGAGAGACTGAGGGACCTGGCTATAGTTACAAAGGCACCACCTTGTTTGACAGGGGCTCTCAGGCAAAATTAGAACAGGTAAACTTGATTAGTATTTGCTTTAGGTAAGTCTTGAACATTTTCTCAGTTAACTGAAGATTTTTTTTAATGTTTATGTATTTTTTAATGAATACATTATAATTGTACATAATATTTACGGGGTACAATTTGATGTTTCAATACATATCCGTGTTGTGTAATGATCCAATCAGGGTAGTTAGTATATCCATCACCTCATGCACTTATTTGGTGAAAACCTTCAATAGCCTCTTTTCTAGTTATTTTGTAATAAACAATATTTTACTGTTAATCATAGTCACCCTACCATGCAATAAAATACCAGAATGTATTTCTCCTATCTGGCTGTTGATTGTAGTTTTAATTCTTTTCTTAAATATGAAGCTTCTGTAACTTCAACTGGTCTGTGAAAATATTATGCCAAATAGAAAGCACTTTTTGTAAATAAAGGGCGTGTGATGCACTATGAACACCTCCCAAATGATTTGGAGGAAAAAAACATCAATTCCAGTGATATTGTTTCAGATTATCCCAATGGTCTAGGTTTATTCCAAAGACTTTGACCTAAATCCCTCAGTATTCCCCTTCAACTAACTCTCAACCCATTTGAAATCTTATTCATATGTTCTCACTGTTAGATTGTCCACCTACAATTTTTTTTTGTCCTTTGAATTACTTTCTACTGAAAATAATACACAGACCTCGGTGTTATTGGAAATTGCATTGTGAATACACAAGGTTTTTTGTCTAAATTTTAGGTAGTTTTCTCTTTCTGTTGCTACCTCAAAGAGATAACAGATTCTGCAGTCACATTATATGTAAATTATGTACAAGCTTCACCACTTGGGCTTGTACATTATTCTACTGATTTTCTACAGTGGCGTGGGGGGCACATAATAGCCAGCAACAAATTATTAGAAATTAAATTCAAACCCAGTGTATGCTGGATATGAGCATTTCCAATGCATTTTGCCTCCAATTTAGTTCAGATGACTAAAAACAGACCTGTGGGACTGTTTAAAGGCACTAAATCTCCACAGAATCATGCAGTGCTATGACATAGGCATTCTGTTCTCAAATATTCATCATTTATCAGCAACGGAAACAAACATAGGATTCACATGTGCAAAGTAACAAAATAGATGGTCCTAGCTGACATACCAGTTTGACTCAACTGACTATTACCCTTACAATGAGCAGCTTCTTAAACCACACTTATCCTGGTCCCCTTTATCTATGTTAGAGAAACAAGACCATCTCTACTATTAATTCTGTCTCAAAACTTCAGGTTACCTAGTTTTTTCCCTCAAAGATTATTCATCTTCGACAGTCACCACTGCTTCACAAAACAGATTTTATTGTTTTCTTTGCCAATTAAGGGCTCCCCAAGAACAGTGAATAATCTGTCAGGTTGTTATAAACCATCAAAAGTTCTAGAAATGTCACATTACCTCCTTCAAATATTTTTTAACATGCAACAGGGACATACAGCTTTGTCATCAAAAGCTGTATTGGTTTCCTCATATTTTCTAATCTACACCATAAAGGGAAGATGTTTATCATAATGGCAAAATAAATAATTTAGCCAGTCCAAATCTCTTACAATTGCATGTGGCAAACCAAAGTCAAACTGAAGGAGAGGAGGGTGGAATAGAGGTTAATTTGCTCACATGACAAGAAGCCTTGTGACTTTATTTAGGATAGGTCTAGGCAGTGAGGCTGGTAAACATTTAACAATATACTCATTTAAAAAAAAAAAGGGCAGGGGGTAGGAGGGGGCTGACTTGCAGCCAATTTCAAGCTACCAACACGCTGTCAACCAGCTCACAGAATTCCTGAACATTTAACAATAGGCTATTGTATGCTGGGATGAGCCATCCCCAGCATGATACTAGATCCAGCTATCAAACAATATCATAAACACCCCATCCTCTCTTCTCTTTTTCCTGCTTTACTTCATCTGATTTCATTCTCAAACAGATTTACTCAAAGATGACTGCAGAGGAATGTTCTCAGAGGGCTCTAAATAGGTTGGCTTTGGATCTGCCCTCTTAAAACTAAACATTACCACAGAGGAATGAAGTATTCTGATCACCCAGTTTGGGAGCTAGAGAGAATGGGGGTAGCTACGTTCAAACCATTTGGATGAGGCAGGACTCGCCTGAAATGGGGTAAGTGTAGCCCTCCTAAGAAAGAAGCACTGTGCGGATGAACATCATGAACACCATCCAAGTTTCAACATGTCTGAGATTAAATCTGCAGCAAAAGTTTACTCCATTTCTGGGTGTGTAAAGCAGCTAAAACTTCCTACCATGCGTCCGCTATCCATGGAAATCCGGAACAAAAGCTTAAGATCCAAGAAAATAAAATGTGTTTTGAAGAAAAATATGCTCTTGCAACATAAAGAAGCTGTCTTCAGTTACAAATAGATATAAAATGTGAAGATATATAATTGCTGCATAAATTTATTAATAGAAGTGCTAATGCCATAAATCGTACATCTCCATTTTGACACGCAATCCTTTATTTTCCTTTCACTGAGGAAGAAAAATAAAGGAGCGGAACTGGTAATATTGCTTGCAACTAAATTGGATTTTCCACCAGAGAAAGCTGTTTAGAAAAAGCTATTCTAAAAAAGCAAAATAGTACTCACAAAAGGGTATTAATGAATCCAACCAGGAGGAAAAAGCCTCCAACAATACAAAGCTTTCCAAAACCTCTTTCAGGACTGAAAGCCAAAAGGATGCTTTGAACTCTCTGTCTTTGCAGAAACCATCTCACCTACAAACCGAGTATGAGATAGAGTTCAAATTTTAGAATAAGAACTCTTAATTCAAACTACAAGTCTTAACTGACGATTCAAGAGGAGAGACTGCAGCAGCTCTGGGTTTCGAAGGAAACCGATACATCCTGCCCTCAAACTGTGAGGCACTATAGGAGCAAGATGTAAAGGATGCAGTGCCTTTGCGCTCCCACCTCCGCCACCGTGGGTGTCATAATACAGAGGTGAAAGTTCAACATGCGACAGGTAGGGATGCAGCAGACTCTGTGGCTTTATACTGCATAGGTCTTTCACTGCTTGGTCACAGAATTTCTTTGAATCCTATTTGTTTATACACTGATATTTATGTAATAACAAAAGAGTAAGTAAAGAGCAAGGAAACAGCCAAGAAACCCTGAGCAAATTTTTTTCCCCCTAAGAATAAAGGAGTTGAGTTAGGCTATCTTCCCGGAGCTTCTCTTTATCGCTAGATGCAGTCAGCTGGAAACATATGCCTGCTAATTGCTGAATGTGTGCCTCATGGAGCAACGGTGCAGTTGTCGAACGACCTCGGGGAAACAAGTCTAGGCCTATTTGTGCATTTCTTTCTTTCACCATGGGACTCAAGTGCTTCGCCAGGCCACTATTAGGACAGTGGAAAATCAAGGTGGAAGGCTCTGATGAAATCAATTATCACTAAGTTATTTTCACTGGTGAAGGGGTTTCCTCACAGGGGTTTAATAGTAAATTATTCTTTCCATGGGATGTGCTAGATTAATGGAGGAAACAAAGCAAACAAATGTTGCCTGGTAAGACTAAGAGGAGGGTCCCAAAATACTAATATTTACTGCCCATGAAGAGATAGCCACATTCACAAGAAAATAAATGTAAACCTACAATTCCAGAGGCGAAAAGGAAAAAGAAATGCTAAATGGCAGTTATTTCCTCAGTGTTATACATTACACATATCAATAAACCCTAGAGTCCCATACTATACATGCCATATGGATAGATAAATGGCATATGTGGTAATAGTCTTTCAAACTGGATGATAGTACTTTGCACAAGTCAGGGATGCAGCAATTGTTTGAAAATAGGGAAAATAACCATTTTCTAGCATTACCTAGTGAAATGTAAGTGTGGGTACAGTTTGGGAGAATCTGTATAGTATTTATTTTTATCCTAGCAAACTATACTTTACCTTTCTGGTAGAATTTTAACTTTGGATATTTTACAAATATCATATATAGTCTTGGTAACATCTTTTATTTAAAATCACAAATATTAGTTGGATAGATGTGTTAAGGGAGATTTACCAGACTGCATACACAAAGGAGGCCATCAGACATGGGCATCTGAATTGATATAGGTTACACCACACCGTAGTTAAAGACCAAATATCTGCCAGTGTTCCCAATAAGGAAAGATAACTAAGATAAAAGAATGTCTCTTGCAGAATTAAGACCTTGGGATTCTTTTAAAGCCTGGGTTTACATCCTTTGCTCAGAAGAGAAAGACACATTATTTCAATATATTTTCATTCATTCTTAGGCATTAACTGTCTTAATAAAGGCAGTGCTTCTCACTTAAAAAATAAATTTAGCTTTAACAAAGTAAGTGTAAACGTGACCCTAATTTTCACTCTGCTGTCCTTTCTTCCCTGTTGTGCTTATTAGCTGCTGCTCTTTGACCTTGAACAGTAATCCTTTGAGCATGCCTCCTTCCACCATCAAGAGGAGGTTCCCTACGGTCTGGTAGTATTTCTATCATAGTTGTTGACATGCCAGGGAAAATAATTTCCTTTGGACACTATAACCCTTCTCGAAACCAGCTCCTTCAAACAACTCACCTAATTGAACGTGAAAGACATGAAACCACTGGTGTCAGAAATTAAATATAGGTGTTTCTTTGTTTTCTTTGGCATTTCTTCTATTTACTTTCTGTCATCTATGCCATAGGATTTAGAAAGGAAAGCTATGGAAATAGGCACCATCAACTAGAACTCAAAGAGAGAATTTTGTATGAGGAACACAGTCCACCAGCAGAAATAGAATAGTGTTGGATATACTCTTCAACATGCTTTTTTTTTTTTCAGGATCAATGTTGATGGACTGTATTGAAAACAAAAGGGTAATTCTTCTATGGAGTTGTCTTGCAAAATTCTATTCTAGGGTTTTGTCTTTGTCCTTTGTAAGCACAAAGCAAATGAGAAAACAAGTATATGGTATTTTGATCAAAATATATCTGCCATTAAACCTAAGGTTCCGGAGCTCCATGGTATCTGGAAGATGCTTTAGAGGGTAGGTAGCCTGAAGGTGCTGCGGTGCCATCAAAGGGCAATGAACATCTGTTGCCCCATAGCCCCTTTCCTCCTCCTCCAGCAACAACCCTGACATCATTTGGGAATTCAATCATCTCCTCCTCTCAGTCTATAAGGTCGCAGTAGAATTCCATCCTTAGACATGAAGAATGTGCCTCAGGCCAAGCTAAGAGGCACATCTTACTCCCCTATGCCCCTACCCCCCTACCCCCCTACCCATAGAGATTTGCTGTGGGATAGACACATGACCTAATCCATTCTAATCAGGGTGACTCTCAGGATGTCTACAGGAGCTATAATGAAAGAGTTGTAATGTCTACAGCAGAAATAATGTCTTCTGCTGGAGCTTCTGCAGCCATCCTGCCACCACTGGTTAGGCTGGATAAAAGGCAAACCTTTAAGCCTTTTTTTTTTTTTTTTTTTTTTTTGGTGACCAAGTTTTGCTACTTGTTGCCCAGGCTGGAGTGCAGTGGCGCAATCTCAGCTCACTGCAACCTCTGCCTCTGGGGTTCAAGTGATTCTCCTGCCTCAGCCTTCCTGAGTAGCTAGGATTACAGGCATGCGCCCCCCACGCCCGGCTCATTTTGTATTTTTAGTAGAGATGGGGTTTCTCCATATTGGTCAGGCTGGTCTCGAGCTCCTGACCTCAGGTGGTCCACCCACCTTGGCCTCCCAAAGTGCTGGGATTACAGGCATGAGCCACTGTGCCCGGCCTGCCTTTAAGCATTTAATGGGATGTTAGGAATACGGTACTGTAATTTCTCCTTGGGTATAAAATATATTGGAGTCAATCACTGTTGCCCCTACCCTAGTGGGGATATGGCAATGATCTCACCCCATAAGGCAAACACTAGAAATTTATGCTTCAGAATTCCATCTGGCTTTGGTTACTTTTTGATACTTATGATTATTATTTTTATTTGAAACAGAGGCTCACTATGTTTTCCAGGCTGGACTTGCATTCTTTAGTCTCAGGTGATTCTCCCACCTCAGTCTCGAAAGTCGCTGAGACTATAGGTGTGCACCTTAATTATTTTAAGAAAAGAATGTAATGGCTGGGTGCAGTCGCTCACACCTGCAATCCCAGAACTTTAGGAGGCTGAGGCGGGCAGACCGCCTGAGCTCAGGAGTTCGAGACCAGCCTGGCCAACATGGTGAAACCCCTTCTCTATTAAAAAGATAAAAACTTAGCCAAGCATGGTGGCGCATGCCTGTAGTCCCAGCTACTTGGGAGGCTGAGGTAGGAGAATTGCTTGAACCCAGGAGGCAGAGGTTGCAGTGAGCCGAGATTGTGCCACTGCACTACAGCCTGGGTGACAGAGCTAGACTCCGCCTCAAAAAAAAAAAAAGGATTTAATTTTTAAAAATCAGCATGAACTGAAATTTACTTCACAATGGAATTAAAGACCCCCAACAAGTCATAATATGCTTATATGGCAATATCACATTGTTTGTGTGAGTTATAAAGTTGGATGGATTTGCACTGGCATCTTTTCACGGTTTTAGTGAGAGAATCATGCATCATCCAAGGAACTCTGATGTAAAAGACTGGACATGAGAATTATTACAGCTTTGAAATTCTGTCAATTTCCTACCCATTTAGTCAGATTTAAGAACAGTATGAACCTATCTTACCCAAAAAAATAGGTTCTAAAGTCAGTACATAAATTATATAATCATGTGATATGACTTTATCATATCAGTTTACATTCCTGAATATAATATGGTCCAATATCTTCAAAACATATCAAGACTCTGATCACTTCTTACCATTCACACCATTATCATCAAGTTGAAACCACCATCACCTGTTTTCTGAGTTACTTCCAAAGCCTCCTAATCAGTCCAAACTTAGTCCCATGCAATGTATTCTTCAAAGAACCAGTAAATTCTTTTAAAAAATAAATAAACAGATGAGATCACAGCACTACTTAACACCTCTAACGTCCTCCCATTGCAAAATCTGTACCGTGACTTACAAGGTCTTCTCGATTTGATTTGCCCCATCCCTATCCATCTAATCCCAATTCCTACCACTCTCCCTCTCTCTCACAAAGCTTCAGCCCCACTGTCTTTCTTGCTGTTCCTTCAACATTCCAAGATCTTTCTCTCCTCGGGGGCTTTAAACCTTCCTACCTCTGCCTGCAATTGTTTTCCTCTTAATACTTCCAAGGTCTCCCTTTTGAATCCATTCAGTTTACTGCACCAATCTCATATCTTCAAAAAGTTTTTCCTAGACCTCCTAACAAAAATAAGGCCCCTTTCCTAATACTCACTATCCCCTTATTTTCCTCCTAGCACCTGCAACTATATAATTTCCCTGTTGACATGCTGATTATCCATCTTATCCACTGAAATATAATCCCTATGGGCACAAGTACTTTTGTTTATTTGCTGCTGAATCATAGCATCAAGCATAGAGCCTGGCACCTATAAATTGCTCTATAAATTTCTGGTGAATAAATGAATCAATCAATAAATGAATCTTCCAACAACATGATGCAACACAGACCAACGTTCAGATCCTACAAGGTCTAATAATGTGGCTAAAGGGGCACCTGTTCTTGGTTCCCTTTGGTGAAAACCTGATAATCAATGAATGGCAAGCATATTTACATATTTAAAAGTTTGCCTGCAAGGTAATCTTACCTTGAGGCTGTGTAATAGGAGTAAGTATCTATTAGCTCGTAGGAAGCACATGCACACATGTATGTACACACATAAACTACTCTGATCTCTCATGTCTTCAACAACTTGACTACATTTTTACCTGAAAAAATTATTGTAGCTATTACTAATGTGATGCACTAACCAGAGAGCAGAAACAAATTGAGTTGTTTGTTTCTCCAGGAGGGAAAGCAGGCCGCAGCTACTTCCAGAAGGTCAAGAGATCAGGGTATGAATACCTAAGACATGTGTGTGTATATTTCTGCCACAGGGAGTTTTCACACAATACACAAATGGAGGATCAACTAACAGGCTGCCAGTCAAGGGGAGATTCAAGAAGTTTCAAAGAAATGCTCTGAACCCCAAAATAACAAAGGAAAACATGTTTTGAAAAGTACACAAAGACAGTTCTCTTAAAAATCTGCCAGGACTCCTTGCCAAAATGGCATGTTACACATCCCCTTCTCTATAACCTATACCATCTGGGCTTTCCGTACCCCACCAGCAGGGTGTAAGAATGCCTATTCATTTGCACCCCTGCCCATATAAGTTATTATAACTTTTTAAAAATCATTCCCAAACCTGTAGGTTAAAACATGATGTCTCCCTGCTTTAATTTGGAGGTCTCTAAGTTGCTTACGGTACAACCTCAGGATCCATTCATGCTCATTTTGTAGCTACAAAAGAAAAAGCTCTAAAGGAAGGCCAAGTGAAATCCTGGACATGCAGTGTGATGAAGAAATAAGGGCTGCTGCTTAACCAAGAGTCAACTCAAGCAGTCTCTGTGAAGTTCTTTCTCACTGCCTCTGTTTATTTTCCTCCTCAGCCAACACACGACTAACAGCAGCATCTTGAATTTGCGTTACAATTTACCAAGCACCTTTATTTTCCTCAATGATCTTCATAAAAATTCTGTACTATGGATAAGATGACTCTGTTTTCCAGATGCAGATCCAGAAAATGGACTTTCCCTCAGTGTCTCCAGTTATTAAGTAGTAAAACCCAGACTAGAACCTGTGTTTTCTCATGGCCTCTTCAAAGTTCTTTCTACGATGGCATAGTTCCTTAAGATAAACCGAGTGAAAGAAAGGTAACTTTCACTCACAATTCACCAGAAAAAAAAAAAAAAAAAAAAAAGAGGAGGTGGGGGAGAAAGAGGTGCTACACTCAGCTGAGCCCACCTGTTTGGTTTCTGTTAGCTTTGACCAAAGTGCCAGTCATTACACTAAAATTCTATTTTGAGGTTTATCATGAATATTGGTTTCTACAAAATTCTTCATTAATTAATGCTAGAAAACACAGCTCTCAGTCAATTGCCATGGGGCACAATACCCAGGCACTGCTTTTCTTTGTTCTTCCCAGTCTTAGGGACACCAATCCAGATAGAATTACGTCCAAAAGTAGCCTAAGGCCACGTTTATGAAATAAAAACACCAAGGACACAGGCTGATTTTAGGGCAAATTTTAGGTCTGGCATTTTATCATTCTGCTCTAGATCTAGGGGTTAAACTCTACTGAAATAACTATGGTTGCTTTTGGTGGAAACCCCCTTCCCCAGGCCCTTCCAGCCCTGGCCAGGATTCAATCATCCATTCAACAGCTATTCACTACACATTCACATTGTGCTAGGTGCTGGGCATACAATGAAGAACAAGATAGACACTGCTTTTGTTCTTTAGAGATGACATACTAGTAAGAGAGACACACTAAAAACAAGTAAACAAACAAAGTTATGATTGACTATAAGTGTAATACTCTAAAGGAAACAAACAGGGGCACTAATGGAGAATAACGAAGGCACCTTCTTTGTTTAGGGTGGCCAAGCAAGGCCTCCCTGGAAAGTAAGTTAGTAACAGAACTGCCATTAACCCACTTAGGCCTAGTGTTCCATTACTGGAATGCCAAGCATGTGGGAGTTATCCATATCCTACTGCTCAAAGTCATCGCCAAGGTCTGATTTTTCACTCATGCAAAAATTCAAAAAATTACAACCTCCGGCATATATGAGTCAATAAGCATTCCTTCCTTGACCTACACATGCTTCAATCCATATTATTTTCCTTAGTAGGTGGCTGATGAACAGGTCAAAAACCAAACAGGCCATGGTAGGGATGGCATCAGGCATACCGAAAAATTCTGCTTTAGAAATCAGTCATGAAAGGTCATTCCAGTTTAAATTACAATCAACATATAGAAGCTAGAAACTCCAATCAGGGCAAAAATGGCCTCTTTATATCCCATCAAGGAATCATTTATCTAAGATGACAAGAGGTATATTGCCAACAAATCCACAATTCTGTTTCCAATTAATGCAAACTTATAATATTCCAAGCTGTTATTAGATTTCAATTAATAACCTGTGATGCCTCATTAATGCAAATATGCTCTTCGTGGTGCTAAACCTTCATTAGTGAAATGGGTCCAATGACATGACGGTTTCATATGATAATGGAACTATGATTAAAAGGCACAATTAATCATTTTCTTCTACTACATAATCTCTGTGACAGTTTACTTATGCCTATATGAAGCATTTGTTTCTTGCAAACAGTCAATTTATATTTAAACTATTCAATAGCAGAAAGAAAAGCAGAAATATCATACTAAATTATCTCTAATAGTTGCAAAGAATCCCAGCACCAAGTTAGGTTGTTCAAGAATAAGGACCAGGCACGATGGCTCACATACACCTGTAATCCGAGCATCTTGGGAGGCCAAGGTGAGAGGATCACTTGAGCCTAAGAGTTTGAGACCACTCTGGGCAACATAGTGAGATCCCAGTTTTACAAAAAAAAATTAGCCAGGCATGCACCTGTACTCTCAGCTACTCGGGAGACTGAGGTGGGAGGACCACCTGAGCCCAGGAGGTCGAGGCTGCATAAGCCATGATCATGCCACTGCACTACAGCCTGGGTGACAGAGTCAAAAAAAAAAAAAAAAAAGTCACAGAGCTGGTGCCATTCTCCATTAAGAGCATAAAGTGTGAAACAGAAAATCTCAGTCACACGGCTGTCAGTGCTTTTTCTTTCTCTTGTCTGTGTACTTTCCATTCTTTGAACCCTGAATTGCTCCACCAGCAGGTTCAAGCCAGCAACAGATCCTGAACCAAACACAGCAAAAACAGGACACTATTCCCACCCCTCATTTTCTCCCCAACTACCCCACGCAGCAAAGTCTGACTTGAAGCGAAGCTGCCTGGAACAGTCCATTACTACTACCTGCCCAGTGTCCTTCCCCAATTCTGACAATAACACTGTTTTGCCTTTGCAGAACTGCCCATCTCTCATATCCATGTGGGCCTGGTTGGGTGGTCAATTGCAACTCTTCCCTCAAGCAGCCAGAGAGAGGGTCAGAAGCAAGGCTGGGCCATCAAATACCCCAATACTCAGCACAGTGATTGATCCAGGAATGGGCTCCTGAATCCAGCAGTCTCCTGGGTTTTTTTTCTGACATTCATTTACTGCTAATAAAGAATACCACGTTGACTCCATGCGTTAGCTTTGTTTGCTGTTTGTGATTTGTGGAGAATCGCAGAAGTGAAAAGTAACAAACACATGTCAAGGGCCATCCACCCCACTCCAACCTCCACCTCAACCGTCACCCAAGTAAAGTCCAGCTCCTTTAGACTCCCTCTCTCTCAGTCCCCAGTGTTACTTATTGCCAAGAGACATAAAGCGTGCAAAAGCCACACACTTCTCCTTCTAAAGTAAATATAGTTTTAAAAATCTATTGAGATTTCATTTTAATTGTTGCTTAGTAACCATTGCAAGATTGGAACTGTTTCCTAGCTTAAAAAATAACACTATAAAAAAGATCATTTAGGGCCGGGTGTGGGGGCTCATGCCTGTAATCCCAGCACTTTGGGAGGCCCAGGCTGGAGGATCATGACGTCAGGAGTTGGAGACCAGCCCGACCAACATGGTGAAACCCCTTCTCTACTAAAAATACAAAAATTAGCAGGGCGTGGTGATGCTCCTGTAATCCCAGCTACTCAGGAGGCTGAGGCAGGAGAGTTGCTTGAACCCGGGAGGCAGAGGTTGCAGTGAGCCGAGATTGTGCCACTGCACTCCAGCCTGGGTGACAGAGTGAGACTCTGTCTCAAAAAAAAAAAAAAATTAGATATTTAAAATTAAGCTGTCTAATTGTTTTAAAACTCAGATGTTATAGTAGCTTTGCATCGGAGATACAATCCTAAAAAATTTAAAACAAAACAAAATGACTGGGTGCAGCGGTTCACACCTGGAATCCCAGCACTTTGGGAGGCCAAGGCGGAAGAATCACTAGAGCCCAGGAGTTCAAGAACAACCTAGGCAACATAGTGAGATCTTGTCTCTATAAAAATTTTTTTTTAAATTAGCCGGCCATAATGGTGAGCACCTGTAGTCCCATCTACTCAGGAGGCTGAGGTGAGAGGATTACTTGAGCCTAAGAAGTTGAGGCTGCAGTGAGCCATGATTGCACCACTGACTTTCACCTGGGCAATGGAGTGAGACCCTGTCTCAAAAATAAATAAGTATAAAGCAAAATGTTTGAGGATTTTATTTCAATAATGCCAATCTATTCCTCTTCAACGTTTTGATCTAATGTATGAATTGTGACTCTGTCCTCTTGGCAACAAAAGTAATGCTGGGTCTTAATCAATGTGCATTAGTATGCTAGCAAAATGATACTTCTTCCATATGTAGTTATATATTAAATATATATAAAATAGAAGTGTTAGATACGACTCTTATGATTAAGATATATCTTTATTTAAATAACTATCCCTTACTGGAAAATAAATATGGATTTATACATTTTTGATTAATAAATCAATACTCATTTATAATCTGATTTATAAATATTTTTTATTTATAAACATTTATTGATTTATTAAGTGCACATGATGTAATAATGGTTTCAGTGCCTCTGCCAACAATCACTGGCTGCTAAGAGTTGCTAGAGTAATGGATTGAAAAATGCAAAAGGGCCTGAAAGCATGGTACGAAAGACCACAGTGAATGATCGGTTATGTCGGCCAAGGATGTGGGACTCAGAAATGGTAGCAGGCACATCAAGAGCTTTTTTTAAATCTACCGCAACGTGGAAAAGTCCAGTTGTTCTACCAGTAGGTGCTTCACCTTTGTGAAGTCACAATTCTCTGGCTGGCTGTCTACTCATCTTTAAAATGAGAGTTTTGATTAGATGACCTCTTATGTCCCTTCTAGTTTGAATATTCTATGATATTCTGAAAAAAAATAATAATAATAGCTCTTGTATTAGCATCCCAAGCAGTCTGGTGTGGGACTAGCTAAATACAGGCAGCAGTGAGCTTCGAGGTGAAAGCTCTGAGGAAAAGGCAGAGTAGAAGAAGCAAACTTTCACTGAGCTGTTTAGCCTGGAGAATGATACCTAAAAAGCAAATTACCCTGTAAGAGGACTTGGGAGGAAAGTGCACAGTGAATAAGTCCATCATCTTCTCCCATATATTTTCAAAAATTATTCCTGGAATTATGTTGCAAAGGAGTCTCAGGATGTTTGCAGCCACAGGAACTGGAAACTATTTCACAAAATAGGAAGTGTAGAGATCGGGCAGATTCAGTGACCTCACAATGTTATGGGTGACCCCAGATCTTCTGAGCTTTTTGCTTTAGTGACCTTGTGAAGACTTTGTCTTCAGGCTAGTTCCCTGAATGGTGATGAGATGGCTGCATGTAGCAATTGGTGCTCTTTGCTTCCTTGTTCGGTTCCTGAAAGAGACTAGTTGTTCTTCCTTAGAAGCATGAGCAAAGTTCTCCTTACCACTATGTGGTCCAAATTGGTTCCTACCAGCTCATCTTTGAATCTTTGGCAAGACAGATGGAAGTATTCTGATAAGGAACAAAAGAAGAAAAAAGCAAACCCTTGACATCTGGAAACTACTCAACACATATAGCTGGGCCTCACTGTTAGAAACTAACCTGGCACTCATAGCCAGGCCACATTATTATCCTGCTGGGCATAAACAATGTCACAGAACATAAACAGCTCAAGAAAACCCACTCTGAGACCATGATAAAGTAAGACAAAACAAGACTATTTCATAATTTCTCTCTCTTTTTTTTTTTTGAGACAGAATCTCTGCCCAGTCTGGAGTGCAATGGCGCAATCTCTGTGCACTGCAACCTCCGCTTCCAGGGTTCAAACAATTCTCCTGCCTCAGCCTCCTGAGTAACTAGGATTACAGGCACCTGCCACCAGGCCTAGCTAATTTTTGTATTTTTAGTAGAGATGGGGTTTCACCATGTTGGCCAGGCTGGTCTCAAACTCCTGACCTCAGATGATCCGCCCGCCTCTGCCTTGCAAAGTGCTGGGATTACAGGCGTAAGCCACCGCGCCCGGCCTCATACTTTCTCTAAGCGCAGACAAAGAAAAGGTCACTGCACAACTCCTGAGATACCAAACATCCCCGTCCATTAGCTACTAAGAGTGACTGCTACTTCATTATGAAAAACAGGTTTAGCCTCACTTTAGACTGTCTTCCCTTTAGAGATGTGAGATATCCAATCATAAAATTATCCCCACTTTGTGACAGCACCCTATGCAGAATGAATCTCCCTCCCTTCCTTAGACTCTCCCCCAAATCACCCAAATGAACTCCAAATTCGTTCTAACACCCTCTTACTGAGATATGCTATGGTTCTCTGTGGTATGTGTTCTCCCTCACTGCAATGAGCAAAGAACCCAACTTCACCTCCAAGTGTGTTCCTGGAGGTCTCTAGCTAGAGGGCATTAATTCTGATTTTATACTAATGTTTGCTAACCTTTTTCATTATTACCCCCCAAGGAGCCTCTTTAGACTTTTTTTTCTAATCATCCCCCACCATTTAATTCCACAGATATACTGTATATGTTTGAGGGGAGGGGGTTTGAAAGAGGGTCTCACTTTGTTGCCCAGGCGGGAGTGCAGTAACCCGATCATGGCTCTCTGCAGCCTCAACCTCCTGGGCTCAGATGATCCTCCTGCCTCAGCCCTCCAACTAGCTGAGACTACAGGTGCCTGCCACCACACCCAGCTAATTTTTGTATTTTTAGCAGAGACAGGGTTTTGCCATGTTACCCAGGCTGGTCTCAAACTCCTAGGCTCAAAGGATCCACCCACCTTGGTCTCCCAAAGTGCTGGAATTATAGGTGTGGGCCATAATGCCCAGCCGATGTGTGTTTTTTATATAGAAAGGGTAAGATTCTCTCCCCCATACATATCCTCACAAGCCAATTTTCGTATGGTTTAAATTAAATTATAAGGGGGTAGAAAGGAAGTTGAAGAGTCTACCACAATACGTTAAAAAGCACACACCTTCTTAGCAATCTACCTTTTTAGTACAGTAATAGTAACACTCAATGCTTTTTAGCACTTTCCACACACCAGGCATTGCTTTTATACATCTATTAATTTTACACAGATTAAATAATTTTATCCATCCAAAAAATCTACATGGTAGATGCTAGAATTATCCCCAGTTCAAAGCTGAGGAAACTGAAGGACAAATGAGCCAAGTGTCATGCCCCAAGTCACTAGGTTAATAAATGGTGGAGACACCAAATAACTGCCCTCTAACTCCAGGGAACATGCTCATAACCATGAGGACACATTGCCTCACACTCAACAGCGGCTCCAGAAACACTCCGCTCAATGCGTGCACAAATGAGCAAACGAGAGTCATAATTTGCATGATACTACACTGCCTTGTTCCAAATACAAACAAGGCAGTAAAAATTACGGACATAGGATAAGACTTAAAACTAAGATGTCTGCTATACAGAGAAACATATTGACGGAAATCTTTCGGGGCAAATTTTTAAAGTCTGTGCTGCATGACTCAAATGTTTCAGAAAACTAATCCCATTCTGTGCTTATGTGTGTGTGTGTGTGTGTCTGTGTGTCTGTGTGTCTGTGTGTGTATGTTTACAAGGTGGAAAATGCCTTGGTTAAGAAAGGGAGGAAGAGAGGGAAGAGGAAAAGGTAGTATGTTTTCCCCTAAAAATTAGAGATTCCGAAGTGATGATGACATCCTCCAACCGCTAGATGGAACGCAGTTCTCCCACACCATGGCCATGACTGCTCATTTGAACTTGCTGCTTCATGGTCATAAGGCCAGGACTTCCTGGCTTCCTCATGAGCCACCACATTTTCCATATTTTTAGAGCATTCTTCCTACAGAAGAAACCTATTTTGCATTGTTTTTACAACTATCTTTTTTGTTGTTGTTCTAATGTTGCCAAGGAATCAAGAACCTCAAAACCTATCTTCTTCTGAGGTCAAGCCATCCACTCACAGGACTTCTCAAGCTGGAGCCCTTAGTTGAGCTGATTTTACACAATCGAGTAGAGAAAGAAAATGGCTTTTTGTGGTGAGCATCTGCTGTTTTGTTAAAAATGTGGTTAAAGACATTAACAAAAGTGACATTACCAGCTGTTGTAATGTCAAGCAGCTTAGCTAAACTGTTTTTTATCAAATGACAACATATGACACCCAAATCAATTCCAAACCAATAACACATTGTTACTTGTAAAACAGAGCTGAATGAGAGTGAGAATGAGAGCATGTGTGTGAGTGTGACAGAGAGAGAGAGAGAGAGAGAGGTTAATTAAAATACAAATTCAAATTTCTCCTGAAGTAGGAACAACAGACAATATGATCCTGATAATTTTCATTAAGAAATTTTTAACTTTATCCCAGACAAAGCAAAAAAAAAAGACGATTATGCAATCCATATTCTTACACAAGAAACAGTGTATTTCTTTTGTAAAATTCTTGTAATAGCAAAAAGATATGACGGAGTTTCTGGCCACTTAAAATCTGACTTGGCTTCTGTCCTTCAGCCATATACCTCCTAACGAGTATGACAATAACAGAAGAACTGACTTGTGTGGCTATGTTTGGTCTCTCTATTTTTATCTGCCCATCATGTTTAATTATCAGGCTATTAAAAGGTGGCAAATCGGTAGCATTGCCAACTGCGTTGTCCCTATGGCTGAAAAGCCTGTGGCAGTTGAAACAACCAAACCCTTCCCATGGGCATCACGAAGCTTGTAAAAGCAAAACGGCACAACGTCTGCCTGCCTGCCATAGTCATGGCCAATCCTGAATAAATGTTTAATTTCCACAACTGTGATGAGGGTAGGGCCTGATTTGTGCCAGTGCTTAGGAATCTCCGGGTATTTCATGTGCACAATTATTAATAGTGTAATTCACAAATGCCAAGTCTACCCTTAAGGCCTGAGCTCAGTCCTGCTCTGCTAGAGTTGGTGTGACTTAGTCATCAAGAAAGAAGACACTTTCAAGGGCATGATTCCTCCTGGAAGAAAAACAAAGGAGTGTGCTTAGGGGATAGGACGCTTGCCAGGAACAGAAGGTATGCTGCACATGGAGAGTGTTTCGAGGTAGGTAACTCAGGAGGGACCTGCATTTGGGGGAAAAAAAAACCCAGAACCAACAGAAGCAGCAGAAATAAACAAGCAGGTGTGTGCCTCTATGTCTACTACATGAAAGGAAAACAGGGCTGAAAGTCACAATCAGCATATGGAGACACACAAAGAGGGGCACCTGGGAAAATCAATGTGCATCAGGCTCGATGGTGCCTGCTTCCTCCAGGAGCTCACTGCATTATCACAGGTGGATAAAGTCACCCCTTCAATGGGCACAAGTAGATCACTCTTCTCTGCTGAGATTGGATTAAAGGCGACACTGATGCTAACAGCAAGAAGAAGGTAAACCGGACGTTGGAAAGAATTTTCAACAGCAAAGCCACAGTACAGGACAGATCACCAGGAGAAATGTATGGGGAAATGTTAGAAAAGTATGGAAAGCCCTAGAAATTTCAAAAGTCCAGCTCTGTGAGGAGACAGAGGAAGGGGCAGAATGACCTGAAAGGCCATTCTAGTGCTATTACTATACATAGGAAAGCTTCCTTGAGGGCATTACGTTTTAGGTTTCCAATAAAGGAGAGACCATTTTCAATATTTTTTAAAATTTTGTTGTGTCATTTTATAATAACTTCCAATGTAGATCTTTTAATTTTACTCTTGCAATAAACCTGTACATTTTCTATAGTCACCTGCCTATTTAAGTCCTTTATTACAGAAGAGGTAGAATATAGGCCAAATGCCAGAAGTAAGGGTCGGTTACAAATTCTCAAGTGCTTGTTTATTTCTGGATTACTTTATTGACTCATTTATGTAACCAATGAGATCGTGCAGTCCAGCCTCAGTTTCCCTAAATATTTAGAAAACAGGTTGACCATGGGATCATAGTAGTGGGGCATCTGGTTTTCTTCTGATAGTGCTATTTGTTAAATATTCTGTATTATCAGATGCCCTACTGTGTGCCTGTATATAGACTTCATCTTATTCTAATGCTAACTTTATGAAATGCATTTCATTTTTACCTTCTTTATAGATGAGAAACTCGCTAGCAATCACAATTAATATGAGGAGAAGTTAAAATTGGAACCCATGACTGATTTCAGAGCCAACATTTTTTAGTCACTACGCTATACTCCTACCTATAAACTTCTAAAAACACTGTTCACAAGTACATCATTCCCCTATGGCTTCCCTGGATATTGAGAGACCTGGATTATAATTGGAATTTTTGACTAAGGTAAACATTTCAACCACAAGACCTGATAGAATCTTTCCTATGAGAATTGGTCTCAGGCTTACAACAAAACTAGCAAGTTCTTCCAGAGTACAGAGCACCCCTGTTTGAGGCAAGACCCAGAACTTTAAAAAATTCTAACAAAGGTCCTAGTTTCTCACACAGAGCTCTTGGTTTTGGATAAGACGACTTTAGCCTAGGCTGGACTGAAGACATGAGGGGAAGTTCTGCAAAAGACATTGTGCACACATTATCTCTTTCACTGCCCTATGGCCCGTAAGATGTTCCTAACCTGGAAACTGAGAACTGCACAGGTCAAGTAAGGTGTCCAAACTCACCCAGGTCCTAAGAAACAGAGCACAGATTCAAGCCCAGTTGTATCTGCCTCCAAAATGAGTGCTCTTTTCTGTTACAATACATGCTACTATGTCACCTCCAAAGGTAGGTAGGTACTACCTTTACCCACACGCGTGTTCTTGAACTCCCCTTACATCTCACCTAATGTGAAAAGCCTGCATGACCCCCTGGGACATATAAGGCCCTGGGTAGTCCACAACCACCACCCCTCCACGTACACATCAGCCCCCTTTCTTCCTGTTAACTGCCACAGAAGCCTCCTTCTGTTCCTCCAAGGCCCCCTGTGCTTTCCTTTGTACATGTGGTTCCCCTGTCAAGAAAACTGTTCCCTACCCATCTCTGCCACCTTGCTGACTCCTGCTCACCCTTCAGACCTCCCTGGAGGAAGCCTCTCCAGCATCCCTGGCCAGGCCAGATTTCTATGGTTTACAGCAGAGTTTCTCACCCTCAACACTGTTCACATTTGGGGCCGGGTGATTCTTTGTTGTGGGGTCTGCACCGAGCATCATGGAAAGTTTAGCAGCATTCACTAGATGCTGGTAGCACCTACCCCTCAGTTCTGACAACCAGAAATGCCTCCAGACGTTGCCAGAAGTCCCTAGAGGACAAAATCACTCCTAGTTGGGAAACACTGATCTATTGCTCTTTAGAATCACTTTCCTTATCTTCAGAGCACTGGCTCCAGAGCACAGGATGTGCTTCTGTCATTCTTTGACCATCTCCTCCACGTGAAAATGAGTTTCTTAAAGGCAGAGACAGTGCTGGCTTCTGCTCACCCTCAAATGTCCAGTGTTCAGGGGCATGCCTGGCTCAAAGCAGGATTCCAACAAAAACATTTTTTTTGGAATTTCTCCCTAAAAAAGGTTTGGTGGGAGATCATAAACTTAAGTAGGTAGCTAGTGGAAGACTGCTGAAGCTTTTTTGAATAAAAAATAATGCCAGCAGAGTTCAGGTCAGGGGAAATGAATCCCTGGCAGGATGGACATTAACCAAACACCTAACACATCAGCAGAACTTTCTGCCAAAGGTGTTGAGAGGTTATCAGCAGCCCCCACAGCACAAACAGGTGTCAGAATGACATCCCACCAAAATGGCAGCAGGGCCCTAATTAAAAGAAGAGGCTGTTCTTTCAAGTATTGCCATGCAGCCATGGCACTGCTGGGATGTGTCAAATCACACCCATCTAAAAACACACACCACGACCTGACATCTTTGCCCAGCTGCACCATCCCACGTTTCCGTGATGGATATTAGAAAATAATGTAACCTCAACTGACAAGTTTATTAAGACACAGAAGACATTACAGAGGCCCTTTTGACATTCCAATCTCTAACGCAGTCAGGGGGAGATGCTGACTTGCCATCATTATTGAAAGTAATTGGTCAAAAAAAAAAAATAAAAGAGGTGAGAGAGAAGGAGAGCAATCCTATAAAGCTGTCAGGTTAATTATTTGGCCTACAGGTGTGCTCAGTGCTCTTGATCTGCCTACCACTGGGCTTGCCAGTGCTTTGCCAGTGTTTTCTCCACCCTCACTCCTAGTTTGGGATAGTTCAATCTAAAGCTAAGAGAGTACATTTAAAGCAGAATTTTACCTTGGCCAAGTTATTTCCTTGCCTAATTATACCTACGTACCAGTCCAAATCTCCATTCTTCCCTATGGCTCTGTCCTGTTGGCATACCAAACTCCAATTTTCCAGGACAGATAACCCAGTTAGAAACAACCGACTTGTGTGAAATGCCACAGAGAGTCACAACGCAAAAACAAGTTTTATTCAGATTGAATTTAATTTCCTAGGCAGTTTAGATCACAGATCCGAAACCCAGACATTTTCACAAGCCAGGCAAATAACCTGAATGAGTCCAGTGAGTCAGATGGGAGCCAAAAGGAAGTGATGAGGATGATGACAAACAGGAACAGCAGGCTGTGAGCTCAGTGTTAGCAGAGAAAACCCACCGTGCCAGGGAAGCTGCTGATGCTACTCCCTGGCTCTAGGTCCACCACACGCAGAGTAGATGCTCAATTAATATTCAGTGAATGAATGAATGCCTGCCCAAGCATTCACCCTGTTGTTTCCATGTCTGTTATTTCCACCAGAAGAATGTTTTGTAGGCTTAAATCTCCAGTGCCTTCAGCGCAACTGTCATTTGGAAAGTGGTGAACTTTAGGAATTAAAGAATGGAAACAAAGAGTACATGGGAGTCACTAATGCATGTGGGAGATACTATTCATGCCACTTCCAAGAATGGGGAATCCGTACAGCTCATTGTCATAAGTGATGTTATTTCCAACTTGTTATGGGTGAGCATTATTTAGAATAGCTTGGAAGACCACAATATTTTGCAATAGACATGGTAGCCTGTCAGGGATACAAAATGAAGACTAAGACTAAGAATGTCAAATGAGATTATAAAGATACCTATCTTTGCTCAAATAAGCAAAGGGAAAAAGTACACCCTCTGCCTCTTCTCCTCTCCTTAAATTCCTTTTCCCCTTACTCTCTCAAGGAGTAAATATATATGCTCATATATACCAACATAAAAAGGACATTGGTAGAAGCAAACAATACAGAAGAGTATAACGGGAAAAATACAGGTCCCACTACTGAGAGGTGTCCTCGGTGAACAATTTCAGGGCTGTGTGTGTATATTTACGTGTGAAACATAAATAGGATCGTGATACCTTACAGCAACTTCTGTTTTTTTCACCGGACATCTATGGCATTTTTTTATACTTACAAAAATGCCTCCTTTGCTCTTTTTATCTACTGTTCCATAAAAACTCACTTTATAAACACAAAAGGCCAATTTTTCTCACATTCATCAAGGAAAGGCTCCTGTAATATTGTGCTCTTTTTTCTACCTCCAATATTATGTTTAAGCAAATCATGAGAATCAATTAAAAAGTGGCTAACATTGGCTTGTTTCTACTGTAAGGACTGTTTTTCCATAATTTGGGCTTGAAAAAAAATAGGGTTGTCAAAGCATGAGGTAAGTAGAAGAGAAGCATTAACCAGGGGTGTTAGGAACAGGAAATGTATTTTTGAGGAAGGTTTTGGAAGAGGAGTTATGCATCCAAAGGGTTCAGAATTATGGGCCAACTATTCCTATGTACAAATTGAAGACATTATATAAACACTACAAGAACTGAATGCATACTCATCTTTGGCTGCTATTTCAAACTTCCAGGGACAAATATTTGTCCTTATTATAAACATACATCCAATATGTGTTAAGTGCTCAGAACATGTCAAGCAGTGTGCTAAGCAGTACCCATGTACTATCTCACTTAATTCTCAGATTCACCCTGAAAGTAAGGTACTATTATTATCTCCAGTGGAAAGATGAAGGAATTCAGGCTTAAGGCTACACAAAGATTAGTGAGACAGCAAAGATGAATCCCAGCAATCTATCTCCAGAACTTGGACCCTATGACCTTCACATTATACGTTTAAAAATGTCACAGACAGATGGACACATAAAACTGTGTTGCTTTCATGTCCTGGGTTTCTCTTCTAAAAGCAAAGCATATTTTTGTTTTCTCTTTCCCTAACTAGATTTCCATTTTCTTTGGTGAGCTTAAGGGAGTGCCCTGCCACCTTAATACCAAATATTATATCTAGGGTGAGAAGGAGAGAATAGGAAGAGCAAGCAGCAAGGGCCTTCAGAAACTATTTGTACTTGCCTCCCAAGATAGGGCAGCTTGACCTTATCCATGTGGCTGACAGTCCAGTTGCTCTAGTCATGCACCTGTGAGACTACTTTCTGCTCCCTAAATATGCCAAACACACACCATGCTTTGCATGGGAACTCTCCCACCCCTCGACACTACCCAGTTATTCACATGAAGGAGTCTTCACTTTCATCAGATTTCTGCTCAAAGACTGTCTTTCCCCCCTTTCTAAGAGTTCTGCCTCATTAACCTCTTATCCTATAATCTGTTTTGTGTTATTTTTGGTACTTGTGGAAATAAAGTGCCATACACAGTCAAGTGTTTTGTGAATGTCACCATCACTTTAAGCCTCATAGATATCCCACTTCTGGAACAATAGAAGTATGATGCTTGATAACTATTTGTTGACTAAAATAATACATTGCATACTACTTGAAACACACCTCTTATTCTAGTAGGAATTATCTAATCAAAGTTTGTGCATGTATGTAAATATATCCATATATACACATGCATATGTGTACACACACACACATATTTGCATTTTGCAGTTTAGACTCTTAATTACCAATAGAGGAAACTCAGTAAGTAGCATGATAGAAATGCAACTAGTATAAACCAACTGAATTACAAACACAGGACTTAGAGGATAACTGGGCATTGCAATAATTGTGAAGGAAGATGCTTAGTGAATGATTAGAGGGCAACTATGTTCTGATATCTGTGAATGAACTGCACAGTCTTCATTAATTTCACAGAAAATTCATTTTTGTCCTGTTGCCTATCCTGCCATGAAAGTGGAGAATTGCTCAGAATCTAGCTTTAGATAATAACATTTGTAAAAAATTAAAATTTGTGGCAGGGCGTAGTGGCTCATGCCTGTAATCCCAGCACTTTGGGAGGCTAAGGCAGATCAGTTGAGCTCAGGAATTTGAAACCAGCCTGGGCATCACAGTGAGACCTCACCTCTACAGACAAAAAGCAAAATTAGCCAGGTGTAGTGGTATGCGCCTGTAGTCCCAGCTTTTTGGAGGGGGAAGATGGGCTGAGCCTGAGAGGTTGAGAACTCAGTGAGCCGTGATCACACCAGTGCACTCCAGCCTGGGTAAGAGAGTGAGACCCTGTCTCAATAAGTAAGTAAATAATAAACAAATTTGTTATCAACTTGTCCTGAGTTGATCAAGTTGCTATAGTTAACTATGAATTTATTTCTGATTTTGATGTTCATAGTTGCAGAAACTCCAAAAACTCCTAGTCAGTACACAGACGGAGGCCTGGCAATAAACACTTGAAAGAATTGCCTGTTGGATGAATGAATGAAACAAGAGACCGACAGACTTCATCCCTCCAGAGAGATATCTTCTACTGCTTCTCTATGATTGTTAGGCCGATGTAATTAATCTAACACATGGAGCAGATTTTACCCTTCATTTTCAAGTACATTGTCTATTAACAGCGTCCATGAGCCCTCTGATTATGCAAGGTTCCTGTTAATGGATCTCTGCCAATACCAACCATCAAGCTAATGATCTGAGCTTGCCAGCTCCAAGGTGAAGGACCACTCTTGGGCATATCTCTCCAGGACTCAAAGAAGAATCCCCTCTCCAAATGATCTTGGAGAAGCAGGTGTCCACTCTGCCTGCCAGAGGCTCTGCCAGCACAGGGTGGGGGCATCAAGGGAGGAGAAAATAAAACCCAGTAATTCATATGGGTTGAGATTATTGACTTCACTTTCAAAGAAGATAAAGTGAAAAAGGAAGAACCGTGTTTTTGAAAGGTAAGACAGGGGACATTATCCTGCGTTTCATCAAGTCAGCTTTTTCATGTCAGGCGATGGTATATCTCCTGTAACTTGTCAATGGCACCACACAGTGAAGCTAAAAGGTTGAAGATTATTTTTGTAACGATTGATACTCTTTCTGCCACAGCAGTCAAGCATCTGAAGATTCTTCCTTTCTCTCCTCTGCTCTGGTGAATCCTTTTAAAGTTCTTGGGTGAAAGAGCTGCAAACCCCAGCAGATATCAAACCTGAAACACTAACTTGACATATCGGGATGTGTGCTGCTATATTCACTGCTTGGCTTCAGGCCCCTTCCAGAGCACTTGAAATACAGTTGGAGGATTCTTTGAATATGGGGTAAAAGTACGTGGATGACCTAGATTGTCAAAGGATTCTCTTCAACCAAATAAGAAAGTAAGTTTGGGTCAGCACATGCTATCAGCTAGAAAGACTGCTCAAAATTGTGTGTGCCAAAATAATGAAAGAACGTGCCAATACGTCAATCCACGTTTGTTTCCTGCCCCCGTTCCTGCCACTTCACAGCTCTAAATAGAAACACACGAAGAGAAATTCCAATGAAACAAAAGGAATATCTGAAGGATCTCACAGCTTTCAGGGGTACTGTAATACCCTGAAAACAGTGTGGTTATTCCGGGCTCCACAAACTAGGTAGAAATAAACATCCATCATTGCATAGGGCAGGAAGAACAGCAAAAGCATGTTGGCTAATTTATAAATGTCACATACAGTGTTCTTTGTTTCATTGCATAGGGAGGCAACGTAATGAAAACATTAAAAACCATCTTTTGGTGATAATTGTTGTTTTAAACTGACAAATTATATAAGTCAAAGTGAAATAATCTTTGCAACTCCATAGAGAAACAGAAAACTATTAAGGCCCTTAGAAACATCACAACCCATGTTCCCCTTTCAAAGGTTAGAATAATCCTGAGTATATTTTGGGAAAGTAATATCCTAAGTCAGTAAAAGGTCAGTGACAGGGAAGATTCTTCCACATCTTCAGGAGACAAAAAGTCCCCTGGAGAAGAGAAACCAGGTTCCCTGGTGACATTCCGCAGAAATCTCCAGCTGTTAGAAGAACTTGGATCTCCGAGGCCACCCAAACTTCAACTTAAGAATGCAACAAAGTGGGGATGAAACAGTTCCCGGGAGGGAGGAGGTAGAATAAAAATGGAAGCAAAGCTACCCTACAGCACTAATCTGTAAACCTGCTTCAATTGGCAAGAAAAAGAGGAAGTACTACACATGCCTGAAATGACAATGTAGCACATGGAATGGACCTCTGCTGTTTTCGATGATCCAGCATTCCTCCTGATTTTCCTTTGGGAGAATCATTTTTCACCTACTCACAGTTCACATGATTGGAGAAGGCGCCTTCTGGGTACAGGCATATAACTAAACTGAATAATCCATTCCCTGACTTCATCTTTCCTGTGCGAGTTGGTCCAAGGACTTTTGTTGAAACCACTGGAAGAGAGTGGCTTTCTTGACAGCAGGTTAATAAGATGGATGGAGGTAATCAGGTTGGCAAGTGGCTGGGCAACTGTCCTTATCACCATACAAAGGAAATCTTCCAGAGAACAAAGGAATCACAGAAGGAAGTGGATGTGAAAGACAGCCAGAGATTCCCAACAATATATGATTCTGTAAATCCAACCATGAATGAAGCTTGGTATCCCCACTATTTGAGCCAATAACTCCTCCTGTTGGCTGAAGTTACTTTGACATGCATTCTTATCACTTGCAACTGATAATCCATCCCACGTGAGTATAAATGTGAAGAAATCATTCTAAGTACATCCACCTTACCAAATGGACCATGTTTTGCTCACCAGTGTGACCCCAGCACTTAGGACAAGAGATGATGTGAGAAGACTTCAAATTATTGTTCAATAATTTTTTTAATGATTATTTGTTAACTCATGAATTATCTTCCATATTCATATCTTTTAAAAATGAAAGAAAATCAAAGCAGGTTTCTCCTTTCTGTCTAAATCCTAGCAAGATCAAACACTGGGGAAAAAAATAACATTCTCCCATATCTATCTGACCCCAGAAAAATTATTACTTCCAAATAGTATTTAGTTTTTGGCAGTTATTTATGAACAGGTAATCTATATAATTTAATAGATAAACCTATTTAATTATCTATTTTTTCTCCCACAAACAGGAAGACCAGTGTCAAAATATTGAGCAACTCTCCTAAGAACAAGGCATGCAATCTCAAATTCCTGGTTTTCAGAAAAGGTTAATTGGACAAGCAAAAACAAGGAGCCAACTTATTGGGGAGAACTGGAGGCCTAGGAAAAAGAAAAGGCCCAACTTTCTATCCCCAACAGACACTTTGGGAACTGATAAAATTAAACATTTTTCAAAGACCCTCCATTTCCTATTACCACAAGAAAGTCAAAATATTTCTATCTTTTAATTTAACTTTATCTTGCTTTTCTTTTTGAAATTTTAATTTAGGGCAATATTTCTGAGGGATGCTATTTTTTTTTAAATACCTTCTTTCCTTCAGCTAATGTAAAACAAATAGTTACTCCTGGAAATTACTTTTTACTATTGGTTCCAAAGCTACAATTTGCAGCAAATAAAAGGACTCTTCCCTTCTACAGAAACATTCAGACAACTACATATTGAGAGGAAGGTTTATGTGTACTTGGAGCCTTTGGGTGATGTTCTCTTTGGCCATATGATGTGGTACTCCCATCAGCCTGCCATTTAGTGACTCCTATCAAAGCAAACCTCTCTAAAAACAGACACTTCAAAGAAGATGACTAATTGTGGGTGCCAACTGGATGCTGAATTGCTGAATTTCTGAATGGTTTCCATCTCATTTTCCAAAGAAAATGTAAAATTTCAGAGTAAAATTGCCACTTTTCTTTTTTCACGATGTAGTATTTGGTGGCTTTTAAATTCACAGCCTTCTATTCTTGGAATTTTTTAAATTTTAAATTAACTTTCCTTCCTTCATTCCACATTCATGCATTCATTTAGTCATTCATTCATTCGTTTTTTTGGAGACAGGATCCTGTCCTGTATACAGCCCAGGCTGGAATGCAGAGGCATCATTACAGTTCACTGTAGCCTCGAACTTCTGGGCTCAAGCAATCCTCTTGCCTCAGCCTCCCAAATAGTTAGGATTATAACCATGTGCCACCCTGCCCAGCTATTTTTTTTTTATAAATGGGATCTCACTATGTTGCCCAGATTTGTATCATACTACTGGCCTCAGTGATCCCTCTTGACCCCTCAGATCATTAAACATTTATTAAATGCCTTTCACGTATCAGGTAGTGAACCAATGCTGAGAACATAATCATGAACAAAAATCCAAACAGCCCCAGTTTTTACAGAATATCCAGATTAGTAGGGGAGACAGGTATTATTCAAACAAGCACATAAGTTTCTTAATACAACAAAAGGCGCATGGCTCTTCAAATACAAGTAACAGAGGAATGAAACTGAGCTCAGGAAGTCAGGAGAGCTAGTTAAGGGAGTGAAAATACGAGTTGAGAGCCAGGTAGTAAATAGGCCTAGAAGAAGTATGGGTTTTTTGTTTGTTTGTTTGTTTGTTTGCTTTGAGATGGACTTTCATTCTTGTTGCCCAGGCTGCAGTGCAATGGCACAATCTCAGCTCACTGCAACCTCCATCTCCCAGGTTTGAGTGATTCTCCTGCCTCAGCACCCCGAGTAGCTGGGATTACAGGCATGCACCACCACGCCTGGCTAATTTTGTATTTTTTTTTTTTTTTTAGTAGACATGGAGTTTCTCCATGTTAGTCAGGCTGGTCTCGAACTCCCAACCTCAGGTGATCCGCCTGCCTTGGCCTCCCAAAGTGCTGGGATTAAAGGCGTGAGCCACTGCACCAGGACTGAAGTGTGTTTTGTTAGAATAAGAGAAAGAAAGACGTGGGATAGGGGCAGAAAAAATGTTGGGAAAACGGAAAGAACAGCAGGAACAGAGACCCTGTAGTGGAAAAAACTTAGTATATGTGAGGAACTAAAAGGCAGCCAGGGTGGCTGGATACTGAGACAAGGTTGGTGTGAGATGGGCAGAGGCTCCTCCAAGCAGGACTGTCCAGGCTGTTGCAGGAAAGAGGTCTTCTGTCTACTAGTAATAGAAATGATCCAATTTACTCCATTAAAGAAACAAAACTGGATATATTCAACACATTTTCTCTGTATCTAACATTTCAGTAGAAGTGATATAAAGATTGCTACCACATATTCTGCTTGCTTCACCTACATCTTACTGTATGATATGGGTAACGAATAAAACACATTCCCCCTATCTCCATTCTGTATGTATATACCATTATTTTATTTCATCATGGTATCTGAAAAGCAATTATAAATCATGATTACAGCAGCTGAAATTTGCTGAAGACTTACTATGAGCACGGCATTGGACCAACTACTTTCTGTCCATTTCCACACTAAAATCAGCTACAACCTTAAACAGACTGTCCCATCCAAAGCTAGCCTCTCAGGTTGAAAGATCATGATGGATTATGCAGCAGGGACCCACCATTCCCAGACTGGTATCTTAGGGTCCAGATTCCATCCATCAGGCACACCTGGGAAGAAGGCAACCTCACTTGGCCTTCTATTCACCAGTGAATCTCAAGTATCTCTAATGATACTTGTGGTAGTGCAGTTTTCTGAGTCAGCCACCCTGGTATGAATTAGACTGGGTAAAGTGAATGTTCATCCATGGATGCAGCTTTCCATTTTTTAGTGGCTTATAACCAAGGCATACTGCTCTTAGGAGTTTATTTCAGAGAAAAAAAGTATGAACAGCCACCATCCTTAAATGTACAACCTTTTCTCTGCAACAGCTTGTCCTTAAATCCAGGACACAGGATGACAAATGGGTTTCCCTGCCAGGTCCTGAGAGGTCTGTGGGAAGGTGAGGCCTAGGCAGGAGTGGAGATCAACGAAGCATGAAATGGTGGATGTTTCCGGGGCTGCAGAATTTTGGAGAATTCCTCACGCTGTCTGCTCAACTGGTCTCAGTTCTCAGTGGACTCTGTGGGGTCAGGAGGAGCCCTTTCTCTGGGTTTTCCCTCTTTCTCCCTCAGCAGAGAAAATCGAGAAAAGGACATTAAATTCAGTGCAGTCACTGTGGGTGCTAAAATATTTTCAGGATCAATGGTGGTGCTAAACTATCTCCATGTTTCTAATATATATATATATATATATATATATATATATGTTTTTTTTTTTTTTTGAGATCGAGTCTCACTCTGTCGCTAGGCTGGAGTGCAGTGGCGCGATCTTGGTTCACTGCAACCTCCGCCTCCTGGGTTCAAGTGATTCTCCTGCTTCAGCCTCCCGAGTAGCTGGGATTGCAGGCATCTGCCACCACGCCCAGCTAATTTTTGTATTTTTAGTAGAGACAGTTTCACCATGTTGGCCAGGATGGTCTCCATCTCTTGACCTCCTGATCCGCCCGCCTCAGCCTCCCGAAGTGCTGGGATTACAGGCGTGAGCCACCGTGCCTGGCCTGTTTCTAATATTTTTAAGACTGAAGTGCTTTTTAAAAAGAAAAAAAAATCTTATGGCTACACCACAAAAATGCAGTGTCCTTGGGTAAGGGACCCACCCAAGCCCCTTGGCCTTTTACTTTCCAGGTATCATTTTTCCCTTTGATAGTACTCTTGTGTCTGCAAAAAATGCTCTGTCTTGATATGCTCCTGGACTGTAAGATTTTGATTGTTTTGTTTTATATTTTGTTTATGTTTATATGCATCTTATATTTCCCTGAAAACTAATTAACACTGTTGGCCTTTCTAACTGGAAAAAAAGTCTATTATTTTTATACTAGTGTTACAAAACAGAAGTTCAGAGAGAAAATATAATTTGGCCAAAATCACATGGCTAATGAGAAGTCAAGTTGGAACCTGATTATAAATCTATTTGCTTTCAAGGTCCATGCTTTTTTTTTTCAAGCTCAGATAAATTTCACATAATATAAAATTAACCATTTAAAATAAACCACTCAGTGGCATTTATTAATATCAATTCATAATATTGCACAATTATGTCTATCTAGTTCCAAAGCATTTTCATCATCCTAAAATAAAACGCCATGCCCACTCAGCAGTTATTTCTTATTTTCTTTTTCCCCAGCCCCTAGAAATGACCAACGTGCTTTCTGTCTCTATGGATTTACTTATTCTGGATATCTCATATAAATGCAATCATACATTTGAGTCACTACAGCAGTTAACACAGTGCCTGGCACGTAGTGAATTTTAAAAAATATAGGTTGACTGTGTGAACGAAAGGATAGGGGTGGATAATGATTAAACCACCATAAAATCCTGAGATATTGTTCTAATATCCACTGCATGCTCTCCACAAATGCTCCTTCGAATTTTATCTTCTGTGACGATGACACTATGTCAACCTATCCACAGAGCCCAGCAGTGTTAATGCCGCATGTTAATAAAACACCCCTCTTTCCCCACAGAGCTGGATTTTTATAAAATGAAGCTTTAGAATCTAGATAACCAGGACACAGTACACTGAATGTCTACTCCTAATATGTTTGCACAAAGCTAAACTACACATATTGCTACCTAAAATATAAAACTAATGTGAGTGCCTACAGAGGAAAATGTGGAATGCTGAATAGGGTGAACCCCCTGCTATTAGCCTGGAAATGATGACTCTGTTGTGAATCTGTCCTACAGGGTATCTCAGGGTCTGAGATAATAGCATAATTATATATGCTAACTCTTCCTAGTTATAATATCTTGGAAGACAAAAGATATAGGGTAGGAGGGAAGAAAAGTTAAGCCAAACAAAAAGAAAAGACTAAATTATTTTTACTCAACATAATGACTCTTTGGGAAGTCTAAATGGCAATACGAGCAAAGTTACAATGCATACTTCAGAAAGGAGAGGTAAGATAGAAGATAAAAGCTGTGCACATTTATACACATATTCTACAATGGACAATAAAATGAGAAATGCACAGTTTTTCAGAAGGGCAACAAGAACACCTCTACCTCCTCTAAAAATTAGGATATCACCAACAAATCGTTCACCAAGTTAGAAGCTGAAGCATTTTAAAACTCAATGCTATTAACAGCATACTTGATATAAGCAGAAGACAGTGGGTTTCATTACTGTTAACTACCCTAGTACAACCCATAGAAACCATGACTCAGTCTGAAGTAGCACACTCTAATAGAACTTCCTGTGATAATAGAACTGTTCCAGATCTGTTCTGTCCAATATGGTGGCCACTAACCACATATATTTACTGAGCATTTGAAACGGGGCTAATGTAGCTGAAAGACGAGTTTTAAATATCATTGAGTTAATTAAACTCAAAGTTAAATTTAAATAGCCACATGTGGCCAGGTGTGGTGGCTCACGCCTGTAATGTCAGCACTTTGGGAGGCCAAGGAAGGTGGATCACCTGAGTCAGGAGTTAGAGACCAGCCTGGCCAACATGGCGAAACCCCGTCTCTACTAAAAATACAAAAATTAGCCGGGCATGTTGGTATGTGCCTGTAATCCCAGCTACTCAGGAGGCTGAGGCAGGAGAATTGCTTGAACCCAGGAGGCAAAGGTTGCAGAGAGCTGAGCTCGTACCACTGCACTCCAGCCTGGGTGACAGAGTGAGACTCCATCTCAAAACAACAACAACAACAACAAAAGCCACATACTAGTAGCTACTATATTAGAGCAACTCTATCAGATATTAATTAGTAAAGAATATAGAAATACTCTCTAGCATAGTTTACCTGCATTTCATAAGGGCAATCAAAATAGCTTTAAGCATGTGTAGTACAGGCATACTTCTCAAACTTTAAGGCTGTGTGATATATAAACAAACACCTGGCAACTGCCATATGGAAACGGACAAACACCTAGGTAGGTGGGGTAGAGATGGAACAAAGTGGAAAAACACAAGTCAGGTAAGTAAAAAAGCTCATCGAGGGCTGAAATGTCCCAAAGACTTGGAGAGTCAGGCCTTCCTAGGAGCTTTCCATCTTACAAAGCTGAGTATTGGCAAATGTTACCAGAGAGATTTAGCACGAGGAGGAAGCTGGTTTAATGAAAAGAGCTGCGTCAATCATGAGCCGATGGAAGTCCTGCTCTAGCCTTTGGCTATCGAGCCATAAAATCCGTTGCTTGGAAATATGAAACCCTTTTGGCTACTTAATGTTTTCTCCAATTCCTCTAACTCAGGGAAAAGGATCATGGAAAGAAACCAAGGAGGGCAAAGCAAGGAGAAAGGCCAGAAATCCAAAGAGGAAGACCAGAAACAGGAAGAAAAAATACAACATAAAATTGTGGGAGAAAAAAAAATGCTCATAGGGAGACTGGATGCTCCCAGGGTGAAAATGATGAAAAATCTGTGCGAAAGAGCATGCCCAAGCAGTTAGCAAAGACCTTTGTGAATTTATGTACAAAACCACAAATTACACACATGCTTCCCAGGAACAACAAATGCTGCCCATAAAAATAAATACCTGCCATTAAAATAAATAATAAGGAGGGGAAGGAGAGAGAGGGTCAGGGAAATAATACAATAAGCCAAGGTTAAAAAAAAAAAAAAGCTAGAAGAAGTTGAACTTGACCTAGAATTTGATAGTCAGTTACTTAATCCAGAAAAAATGAAACTGCCAGGCAAAAGTACTAGCACAACTGGCTATGAAAAAAACTAAAGGCATTCACAAAGGTATTGGTAACTCGTCTTATGATCAGTTTCTCCCTAACACTAAAGTTTCCAATTAAAAATAAAAAACAAGTGAGGTAAAAGGAATGATTCTAACTATAGTCCCTTCGCATAGAAGTAGGTCAAAACAGAAGAGGCTTACTGGGATGGGGAAACAGACAAATTCCATTTTGTAATACACCATGGAGAAAGGTGTTTATTGAAAGTGGCAGCTTTAGCACCATTGTTTTGCACTCTGAGATTAGTGATTTTTGAATCACCTCCTATGGTATTACTTTTACTGTGCATTTAGCAATGTCAGCTGAGATATAATTATGCCAAACCTAGTGATATGATCATCTACCTTTCAGGTTCAGCTAAAGAGTTCTCACTCCATCAAGACTTCTTTTTCTCTGAAAAGGATTCCCACTAAAATACTGTCATTTCCTTTGCTTTGTCACAATCACATTTTGGTATAGGCTGGACTGGGTCAGTGCTGTGAATCTGAGAGGAGATAATGTACTTCAAGTCCCAAAGTATTTTGAGTTGCTGGTATGCCACATAGGATTACAATCACAAAAGAAAGTTAATAGTGTGACTCAATGCTGAGAGTCCTAGCTACGGGAAAGTGAGACAAGATTGGTTTCATACCTGGCAGCACTAGAATTTAACGTTAATATGAAGTGTCCTGATTAGCTATTATATAAAACACTGAAAGAAGAAATTTCTGTTCAGGAGGTATTCAGAAGAACTGAGGAGGATAGCTGGCTATTTAGTGCCAGAGAGCCAAGTCAACTTCCAATCCCCATGGGCTTCTTCAGTGCACATGACCTATGGCCAAGCCCCATCTTTTTATTTCACAAATGTTAACTTCCCAAATGGGTTAGCAAGGGAAAACTATCATTATTATAAAGAAGCGCAGATAAGGCAGACACAATGGCTCACACCTGTAATCCCAGCACTTTGGGAGGCTGAGGCGGGCGGATCACCTCAGGTCGGGAGTTCGAGACCAGCCTGGCCAACATGGTGAACCCTTTCTGTAATAAAAATACAAAAATTACCTGGGTGTTGTGGCGCACACCTGTAGTCCCAGCTACTCAGGAGACTGAGGCAGCAGAATCACTTGAACCCTGGAGGCAGAGGTTGCAGTGAGCCAAGATCATACCACTGCACTCCAGCCTGGACGACACAGCAAGACTCTGTTGGTGGCGGTGGGGGGAGGGAGAAAGAAAAAGCACAGATATGTCAAGTCAGATTCACTTCATCAACTCTAAGATTTAAATAATACTAACACTTTACTCACTATTTAAACTACGTTGTTTTTCGTCCATTAGCTCTTCCTCAGCAATCTGATCCCATGTGATATATATTGAAGAAAGACTTTCACAGATCAAATAAGGTAGGGAAATTCTGAAAACTAAACTGTATTCCTAGAAATATACCATGGTATGAGCATATTAAAGACCCTGAGAAGTTCTGCAGTAAAGAAATCTGATATTGCCCTCTGTATTCTCCTAAAGCGTTTTAGCTTGGGGACGATTTTCCCTTTGTTCTTTATATAAAATACGTATTACCATCTCATATTCAGAGCCCTATAAAATATACTTCAAGAAATACTGAGGGGCCCCTTAATTACACTATAAGACTCTTAACATACAGTAGGTTTGTAAAAAGATAGTAAAAAGGATTAAAGATTCCTCAGAATTAGCTTTTCATGGGCAGCAAAAGAAGTGAGAAAAGAATGGTATTTATTGCTACCTACCACGTGGCCGCATTCCATTAGGCGCATTTCAGTCTCAGTAAATCACCGCAACAATTCTCTAGTAGGTATCATTATTCTCTTTTATGCAGAAGAGAAAACCAAAGTTCATAGATGCCACACAGCCCACTCACGGTCCCAGAGTTAAGAGACGGCAGGGCAGGGATTTGAAAGGCCTGTGCCCTTTCCCCTATATCACAGTGGTGTAATCTTTTCACACTATGCATACTTCTATAAAGCAAAACCATTTTGAAATATCTGTCCTGTGTGACATCACAATATTGTTAATGGTTTCCTTCTGTTTCCAGTTGTCTGCTTAGTATAATGAAATTAAACCATTAAAATGGAAATGGAACTTGTTCCGTGACCTTCCCTTTGTGAGAATATGCCAAATTAAATCAACATGGGATTTTTGGAGGATGTGCCATTTTTTTTTAAGAACAGGGTCTTTCTGCCAAGACAGGAAAACTTATAAGAAATTCAACTACCTAGCTACAGGACCTCAAATATTAGGTTATAATACATGTTTCTGTAGGTTGTAAGTGTGTAAAAAAAAAAATAGGTTCCTTCAGGTTTAAGAAATCCAAGGTCATGAAAACAGGCATCTGGCCCCAGCTAGAACCCTGGTCTAGAACACTAAGGAAAAGCTAGGCCATCTTTCATTTCTTCCTGACATCTTGGTCTCTCTAAACGGGTTCTCTTCGTTCTGCATGCTACATGAAAGGAAACAGCTACCATTAATTCCCCAGTATTGCTCTCTCCTCATATGTGAGGTCAAATAGATTCAAGATGGAATCTGAATGACAATTCTAAATTCTCTGAGGAATTAGAGCCCAACCTTGGAGGCAATCCTCCACGGGGACTATATGTAATATATTTATGTAATGTAAATATGGCCAATGGAAATTACACAGCTGTAACCACACAAACTGGGACAAGCAGCCTCTGGAGAGCATGGAGAGCAGTGGTGTTTAGGCCACCAAAACAGCTTATACAAAGACTTGACAAAAAGCACACAAGCTCGTCAATGGAAAATTTATGAGATAATGCTGAAGTGATTTTTAACTAGGAAGATCACGGGCAGCAAAGTGAGTCAAGTTTTAAATGAAAAGTAGAAAAAATATACCGTGCTGTTGCAACAAAAATAACCCAACTTGTGCTTATGCTGAAGTTATAAAAAGGAGAAAGAGAAAAACTTCACACCTGCAACAGCATCATTAAAACATAACAGGATGGTTTGGGTTTGTCAGAATTAAGGGCCACCTGCTGTTCCACACTTCACCCTCATCCCAATCCCAGTCCCTGAAAGAAATGAAAAGAAAGCTGAAGGAATTTTCATGGAGACAAAATCGAGCAGAGACTGGATCTGCCAAAGACTATTTTTCTAGTCTTCAAGAAATATCCTGAAGTACTGTTTCTAACAGCTTCATTTTAAAAAATATTTTAGCTCTTTGTTTGTCTTAGGCATTCAGAATATAAAATGTACATTTTATATTTTAATTCTCTGTTAGAAAAACAGGGCATATGTTGTAAAAACGTATGGAGGTCTTCCTTTATAATTTGACGTTGATGCTTTTTCACAGATAAGCATTTATCTTTCAGAATCTAAATAAAATGCCATATTTAAATTTTGGAATTTTAATCTGTATCTGGAAGAACCAAACAGAATTTTCACCATCTCTAAATTACTGGATTGCAAGATTAAAGAATCAAGTACTTTGATCTTATTTAACTTGTACAGTACTCACAAAATTTAAAACACTGCACATATTTTAAACAAACTAAGTAAGCATTTACTTATATTTGATAATCTGGATATTTTTAAATTTTCTATTTTAAAATGAAGGTGAGTAGGAAAAATTACAGTCTCTTTAAAGTACCATGAGTTAAACTGCCACATTGATGGTACCATTTACCAACCAGCTATGAGAAGTAACAAAATAAAGTTGCACCAGGAATATTACTATTACTCTCTACAATCATTACACAGATTACAAATTTTTTTAATTTTTTTTTTTTTTTTTTTGAGACTGAGTCTCACTCTGTCACCAGGCTGGAGTGCAGTGGTACAATCTTGGCTCACTACAACCTCTGCCTCCTGGGTTCAAGCGATTCTCCCACCTCAGCCTCCCAAGTAGCTGGGATTACAGGTGCCCACCACCACATCTGGCTAGTTTTTATGTTTTTAGTAGATACGGTGTTCCACCATGTTGGCCAGGCTGGTCTCGAACTCCTGACCTCAAGTGATCTGCCCACCTCGGCCTCCCAAAGTGCTGGGATTACAGGTGTGAGCCACAGTGCCTGACCCCAGATTACAGATTATCCTCATTTTACAGATGGGAACATCTAGGTTCAAAAAGGTAAAGGAATTTCCCAAGGATATATAGCTATAGGCTAGGATTCATGGCCTGGTCTAATGTCAGAAGCACCCCCTATTACCACTGGCATCAACAGAAGACCAGAGTAGAGTTTAGGTTGTTAGTAAAGACATGTTTAATAAGCACAAAGCCTCTTGGTAATAATTAAAATTGAAAATCTTCATACAGATTTGTGATCTGGTCTCACAAAGTGAAAAGCTCAATGCATTTCTTTTGCATTTATTGACTTTAATTTTCATTTCCATAGCTCTTTATAGCCTTCAAGATATTGTCACATTATCTCATTCTGACAGTTATATCCTTCATATTTTAGCATTTATTAAGTTGTTACATGTCTGACTCCAAAAGAAATGGAGGTACACCCTCCTATATATATCTCTACCTGTGATACATCATAGCAATCACCTTATGCATGATGCTCTGAAAAACAAATCCGAAATATGCAACAGCCTAGATAAATGGGATCACAAAATCCCTGGTGGGGACTTTTAATTATATGCTAAGTAAGAGGCAGGTTATGCAGAACTTTCTGAAAAAGGGGCAGAGGGTTTTCAGAACGATATGAGATAACTTCTAGGCTGTTGCCATGGCACTTGTAAACTGTCCTGGCGCCAATGGGAGTGTCTTTATGCTAATGAGCAATGAAGGCAACTAGAGGTTGCTTTCCTCCCCACCTGGTAGTTTTGGCTGGCTTCTTCACTGCATCTGAAAACGGGATTGACTAAATCCTGCTTCTATTAGTGGGACCATGACCTGAAAACAAATCCTACAGGCCTCCTACCTCAACAAGGCAGCATCAACTGTTCTCACAATAAACCAAATATCAATGATTCCATGATTTGGTGAGAGCACTGCCTATTAGCATCTTTAAGTAGCACAAAACATGGCAGCAGACGCTCTCCTTCATATTAGGTTGCATCTAGTCACTAGGCAAAATCTTGGTTAGTTTCCTTTCATTTTAAATTTTGCTCAGAGGCCCAGTGGGCACAGTGGCTGACACCTGTAATCCTAGCACTTTGGGAGGCTGAGGCAGGCAGACAGCTTGAGCCCCAGAGTTTTGAGACCAGCCTGGGCAACATGGCAAGTTCCTGTCTCTACAAAAAAATATAACAACAAAAAAGTCAGGCACAGCAGCACAAACCTGTAGTCCCAGCTACTTGGGAGGCTGAGGTAGGAGGATCACTTGAGCCTGGGAGCTTGACACTGCAGTGAGCTATGATGGCACCACTGCACTGCAGCCTGGGTGACAGAGTGAGACCCTGTCTTGATCAATCAATCAATCAATCAATACTTGTCCAAATGAGTTGTTAGTTCCTCCTTTTATTCTCTATAAATGCTGCCAGTCGGGGGCAGTGTGTAAAAAGCAGAAAAACAAAGTCAAAAAATAATGGAGGGTTAAAAAAAAAAAAAGAAAAAAAAGAAAAAACAATGGAGGGTTCCACTCCTTTAAAAGATATTCTGTCCATGACAACTCCCCCTCTGCCCATTTCCTGAAAGAATAAAAAGGATATGTAGTTCTTTCTCTCTGACATCTTCTGAATAAAGTATCACCTTCAATTCAAACAGGTAAAATATCTTGAAAAAGTGGTCAGAGGAGCTGGCCAGGCACGGTGGCTCACACCTGCAATCCCAGCACTTTGGGAGGCCGAGGCGTGCACATCACTTGAGGTCAGGAGTTTGAGAACATCCTAGCCGACATGGTGAAAATCCATCTCTACTAAAAATACAAAAATTAGCTAGGTGTGGTGGTGCATGCCTGTAATCCCAGCTACTTGGGAGGCTTAGGCAGGAGAATCACTTGAACCCAGGAGGCAGAGGTTGCAGTGAGCTGAAATCACACCAGTGCACTCAAATCTGGGCAACAGAGTGAGACTCTGTCTCAAACAAAGAAACAAATAAACAAACAAACAAAAAAATAAAAGTGGTATGATGGAGGATTGTTTTGAAAGTGTTTTGTTCAATTTGAAGTCAACACCGTGACTAACAAGTTTGACTGACAGTGTCCCTCAATCAGACACACTTAGAAGCTCCACAGACTTGACCAGAGGTTCCACAGACATTCTGGGTACTTCAAAAAATCACACCACAGGCTCAAGTGTGCCATGTCACACTCTTTTCAAAACTTGACAATGCCAAGTCAATCAAGGAAACTGATTAAGTGATGCCGACACCCTCTTGCCTCCCCAGAATCCCTTTAAAACCAAGACCAACTGTGTCCAATCTCTATTAGGGCCAGTAACTTTTACTAAGAAAAAATATTTCCTACTGTGGCCCAGATCCTGATGACAGTCAACAGCGTTAACGTTTTTACTTTTTAATTTTAGACTAGTTTTAAATCTACAGAAAAATTATAAAGAGTTCAGAGTTCCCATATATGCCACACCTAGTTTCCACTATTATTAGCAACTTCCATATATGATAGAGTTGTTACAATCACTGAACTAGCATTCATAAATTATTATTTATATTAATTTATTTTTCGTTTTTTTTTTTGAGTCAGGGTCTTTGCCACTCAAGCTGGAGTACAGTGACGTGATCAGAGCTCACTGCAGCCTCAAACTCCTGGGCTCAAGTGATTCTCCTGCCTCAGCCTCCTGAGTAACTCGGATTACCGGGCATTATCACACCTAATTTGTTTTTTATTTTTTGGTAGAGACCAACTCTTACTATGCTTCCCAGACTGGTCTCAGACTCTTGGTGTGAGCTACCATGCCTGGCCTCTGAGACATTACTATTAACAAAAGCCTCTATTTTATTGGGATTTCCTTAGTTTTCAATCTAATATGCTTTTTCTACTCCAGGACCCCATCCAAGATACCATATTAACATAACTTATGTTGCTTAAGACTTTTCTTAGTTGTGACAGTTTATGAGACCTTTACTGTTTCTTATGACCTTAATAGTACTGAGGCAAGTATGTTGCTGAAGTCCCTCAGTTAAGGTTTGTCTGATGTCTTTCTCATGATTGCACTATGTCTATGGTTTTTTGGGAGGAACACCACAAAGATAAAGTGCCATACTCATCACATCATAGCAACGTCCATATTATCAACATGACTTATCACCGATGATGTTAACCTTGATCACTGGTTGAAGTATTGTTTATTCAATTTTTGCATTCTGAAGTTACTCTTTTTTCCTCCTTTTTAAGCTGTACACTTTGGACAAGAAACCACGTGTGGCCGACATTTAAGATGTGAGAGCTAGGCTCCAGCTCCTTGCAGTATTTATGAGAACTATCCGGAATTCTGCTAAACAGATTTTTCAATTCTACCTCATTTATTTGTTTATTCAATCATTTATTTCCATCCCTATTTATTCAAATCTTTTTTTATATTTTGGGTTATAATTCAATAGTGTTTATTCTGCTGTTCGAAGCGACCCATCTTTGGCGCTTGGGAACTCCTTGAGTTGGCTCCTATGTCCCTTTAACACACTCCCATTATTGTGATTTATTTTGTTGTGTTTTCTGAGCACTGTCTTACTTCTTGGCACTATAACGTGCTCCAGGCTCATCATGTATATTTCTTGCTGAAGTCCCAGAATTTGCCATTTCTCCAAAGAACCTTGGTTTCTTTTATTGGGAAATGGAATTAGAAACAAAGATCTGGGTGTTAGGTGTATTTGTTGCTCCCACGGTTTATTCGTGAAGCAGAAATGTACCCTGGTTTTAGTAAATGCAGAATGTCAGGTATCCACCATTTACAGCGTCAAATTGAATAGTTTCATGGTGTGGGGAAAAAAAAAAATCGCATGTTTCACCTATTAAACCTCACCCCAGAACCTTCAGTAACAATGATTTGTTTACCATCTCCATGGTTTTGTCTTTACCAGAAAGTTAATAAAGTTGCATCATGCAGTAGATAGCCTTTTCAGACTAGCTTCTTTCCTTAGCAATATACATTTACTATTCATCCATGTTTCTATGTATAGTTCATTCCTTTTTATTGCTGAGTAATGTTCCATTCTACAGATGTAACAGAGCTTGTTTATTCATTCACTTATTGAAGGACATTTTGGTTGTTTCCAGTTTGGGGAATTATGAATAAAGCTGAGACAAACATTCCAGTGCAGGGTTTTCTAATTTCATAAGTTTTCATATCAGTTGGGTAAATACCTAGGTATATGACTGCTGGATTGTATGGTAAAACTATGTTTAACTTTGTAGGAAACTGCAAAACTGTCTTTCAAAGCGCCTGTGCTATTTTACATTCTCATAAGCAATGTATGAGAGTCCTTGTTGCTCTACATCCTCCCTATTAATGGTATTGTCAGTTTTTGGTATTTGGTATTTGCTCTACATCCTCCCTATTAATGGTATTGTCACACACCAGTGGCTGTGTGATAGTATCATCTTGTACTAATTTGCAACTCTCTACCAACATGTGACGTTGAACATCTTTTCATATGTACGTTTTCCATCTGCACATCTTTAGTGAGCTATGTATTCAGATCTTTTGATCATTTTTAAAATTAGCTTGTTTTGTTTTCTTACTGTTGAGTTGTAAGGGTTCTTTCTATATTATGGATACAAGTCCTTTATCAGATTTGTATTTTGTGTTCTCCCAGACTCTGGCTTGGCTTTTTTCTTCATAGTGTCTTTTGCATAGCTTAAGTTTTCATTTTAATTAAGTGTAACTTACGATTTTTTTCATGCATTATGTTTTTGGTGGTGTATATACCTACTAACACATTACCAAATACAAGATCCCAGATTTTTTTCTAGATTTTATACTTTTGCATTTCACATTTAGGTCTATTATTCATTTGAGTTTTTTTGTGACATATGCAAGGTCTTTGCTTAAGTTCATATTTTTACAGTGGATGTTCAACTGTTCTACCACCATTTGTTGAAAAGTTATCCTTTCTCCATGTAGTCACTTTTGTGCCCTTGTCAAAGGTTGACTGAATTTGTGTGAGTTAGTCAACTGTTTTTCAAAAAGGCTCAGCATTTTCGAAAATCCAAGAAAACAGGAAGGTTTAACTTGAAGCCAAGAGCAACTTGACAGTGGCAGGGCAATGTCATCACTACTGTGTATGTAGGTCAAACCAAGAATGTTACACAGTCATAACGGAGGTGGGCTGCGTACAGAACACCCTGCATCTCCTAAATGGTTTATAATCACTGATTAATCCTCTGTGAGTATAGACGGGCCTCATTAGCTCTAGTAACAAGGAAAGACAGTGTTAGATTGATAAAGCTAAGGTTGGGAAAGAGAAATTAGAGCAGAAGAGCTGTAAAAAGGATGGAAAGTGCCATGCCCGCAAACTTTGTAGATGGATGTTTTTATTGTATTTGTTTTTTTTTTTAACAAATACCACCATCTTTTCATTTTCTTCCTATGTTCTACACTCCCTCAAATTAGGAGGCATAAGATATTTAAATTCAAATGGGAGCTTTCTACTCTAGCTCCCACTGATGTGTATTTCTTATTAAAGCTTTGTGATTATTTTGTATTTTACCAGTTCATGCCCGTAGAGTGTTGAGGCCTATTTTATCAAAACTGAAATAGCTCGTGATTAGAGCTTACTTAAAATATGCAAACCAAGACAAGGTCAAAGCAACCTTTCTTTCAGAGGGTCCTGTGGGGGATCAAATGGTATACATTGTGATTCATTTTCATTCTTCTTCTGTGTGTTTACCCATGATGGCCAGGGAACACAAAATACAAGCCTCTCACTGGAGTCAGCGTGCAAAATGTGAAACCCCCTAATGTCAAACTGCAATCAACACATCACAAGCCTGTCATTAAATTGGCTTCACAAAATAAAAGTGAGAAAAAAGACAAATGAAGTTACCACACGTAATACAGAATTGAAGTGGATGAGGCTGAAGTTTAGAAGAGAAGTTGTCCTCTGAGGACCGAAGTATAAATGCAGTTTTTAAATTAGGCCATGGAGGGAAACTCTTGGATTGTTCCATTGCTGGTGCCCTCGGAAGCCTTCACGGGTTTCCTGTGAAACACGCAATGTAAAGCAGTGAATGCAGAATATTTGATCCTATCTTTGTGTTAATGAGTCTTCAATCTAGAGAGTGGGTGATCACTTACAAAAATGGCATTCTGCTGAATCACCAGCCCTGCCTATTACATTCACCCTGCTCCTGCACAAAGCCAGAAAAACTGAACAACAAGCAGCAAATAAATTTCAATAAACAGATTTATTGTCCTATTTCAATACAAATCACAGTCTATTAAGAATAATGCACTCTAGTCCAGGTTCTGACAGTCAAAGATGCTGATTTAAGAAGAGAATTGTGCTCCTAATTTAATTCATTCATTTGCATCTCTCTCTTCTAAGTATGATATAATTCAGCCTTACTGATCATAGCTGGTAATCACTCCTCTGTTTTATGGTTAAAATTGTGCTTTTAAAAAATTACAATTCTACCTATTTATGTGGGGATTTTTATATATTATGGTTCTAGGATGAATGGTTATTAGATGACAATAATGAAAAAGGCAAGGTTTATCAAAGTGACCTCTGAAATTACCCCATACATTTTCAAAATGATGCACCTGTATTACACAGAGCATCATAGATTCCAAGCACATTTTCCATAACTAATGATATGACTTGGACCATCTACACCTTTTGTCAGCACTGTTTTCTGATTTCAACATAGTACAATCCATTGAATGTCAGACTCTAACAGGTGTCTATGAACTCAGGGATCTTGACAGTTTCTTTCTTTTTTTTTTTTTTTTTTTTACCATTATTACATTAAAGGCAAACAGAATTCAGTTCCTTCAAAATTAGACATTTTCAACTTATGTCCCAGCTTTCTGTTATTCCACCTCACTTTTGTACTTGGTAAAATAAATAGATCACACCGTAGATGCTGACATGCTTCTATCACATATTATGATATTTTGGCTTTATTTTTTAGTTGAAAAAGTGACTGTATTTTGTAAAATTATACACAACCAAGAGTTTAAATTGGATTCAATGTGTGTATGCTTTCCGCTGAATGATTCCTTTTTCTCTGGGTCTTGCCTCAAACAAGAAACCATTAATGAGTAGTGAAAGCTTTGGACACAGATTTTGTGAAGTTTCATATGAGTTAAGGAGTGCCTTCATTTCATCCTTCAAATTTTGACAGTAACTATTTTTATAAAGAAATTAATTCAGCTTTTCCAAACTTCTTTACATTGCATCATAATATATATCACACCATGATGACAAACATTGAATCTATTTCTATTAAAGACAAACATGCACAATTTCCATCTCAAGTGAAATCTTGAGCAAGGATGGAAACTTCTCAAAGAAAGAAAAAATAGTAAGCCACCTTGTATTCTTAAGAATGCAGAATTTCAAAATGAGACATTTCTGAGCTGCCTCTCACAAAGCAATTTTTTTTTTAGCCGCAGGGCACCCCAGTAGAAGTTAAAAATAGATTACACTTCTATTCATCTAAAAGAAGGACACTAATATGAGCACTGTAGCTTTCTGCACTTCAGTAAAAATCAGAAATGATCTGCAGCCCGGTGAATAAAGTTGATTCACTTAGAGAACACCAGCATTTCTCTCCTCACCTAGCTTTTGAAAGCAAGCATGAGACAGCCCCTGCCTACAAAATTGCAGAGGAATTACTCTCAATTACAGGCTTCTGTCTGTTAAAAAGTAGAGCTGGTGATCAGTCTGACCTTTTTTCTCTGACAAGTCAAATAAATGAAAGGGAAAAAAAAATCTGACAGGTGTTCAATTTAGAAGCTGGGGGTGGGGGGGAAAGAGGAGAAAGAAAAGAAAAGCTTGTATTCTCTAACTAGATCTCCGGATTTTTTTGTATTATTCATCCTATTTTAAAAGTTCCTTTTCAGTGAATAAATTGCATGTGGCAATGTAATTTTCTTAAAGTCACTCACCTAATGTTTTAATTTGAGTATCATTTACTGAAATCTTCCCACAATCAATCATTCAGGCTTTTAGTTTCATACTTTAGATACTTTAGGGCAATTCTGCTGAATGCTACAACTCCGCCCTACCCCCATTCTTCCTTCCTTCTTATAAGTAGATTACAAATGACCACAGAAGAATGACTTTTCTGGTTCCCTGCATTTGCTATATTTATTGCAAGACATGGCTTGTAAACACCAGCCTCCACATTTTACCTGATAATGCGATCATTACAGAATTCACTAGAATTTGGTCGGCATTGGTATTATTTGAATGTGAATGTTTTAGTAATGACATGAATCGTTTTTCAGCTCTCTGACATTTACCCACGTTTTTTCATTTCAAAAGAGTTAACTACTTTGCTAAGGACTGAAAAAGTTGTTCTGATGAAAGTTAAATTCTAAAACATTCTGTATTCTTCGGAGTTGGTTGGTTAGGTTCTTGATAATCCAGCACTTGTTCAGCAAAACTACTAATTAGAGGTGGAAGCCATGTATGCATTGAACAGTTACCTCTTCAAGTTTCAAAGAGAGAAGAAGGACCAAAGGATGCTCTTTCCCTTAGGAACCCATCTGACCTGCATTTAGGCCAGTTAATGATGACTTCCATTCAGCTTTGAAACATGTTTCTTTTAAGTCAGCTACTTTTCAGTAGGGAAAAACTATTTTGAGAATTAATCATTCTCAAACATCATACAGAAGCCAACCAGTTAAAATACCACAATCTTAAACAGACCTGCAAACAACATTTGGAAAGTTGAATTGTGATTGACTGATGACATCACAGAACCAAAATAACGTCCCACATTCACTTCTTGCTCTGTTATTTTTGTTTGCTTCATAACAGTCAGAACTGCTTTTCTGAGATGGCTGAGACAGTTTTCTCAGAAATGACGCAGTGAAATGGCTAATGGCCAGAGAGTGGGAGTGAGATGAGACCAGAAAAAAAAAAAAGAAAAACTAAAAGAAAAAAGGTGGAAAAGAACAAAGGTGATGTACACATACCCCTAAAAGCTGGCCAAAAGATAGTTATAGTAAAAATTCTAAGGGAGGGCTGGGCACGGTGGCTCACACCTGTAATCCCAGCACTTTAGGAGTCCAAAGCAGGCAGATCACCTGAGGTCAGGAGTTTGAGACCAGCCTGGCCAACATGGTGAAACCGTGTCTCTACTAAAAATACAACATCACTGGGGACTGTTGTGGGGTGGGGGAGCAGGGAGGGATAGCATTAGGAGATATACCTAATGCTAAATGACGAGTTAATGGGTGCAGCACACCAGCATGGCACATGTATACATATGTAACTAACCTGCACATTGTGCACATGTACCCTAAAACTTAAAGTATAATAATAATAAAATTTAAAAAAAATACAAAAATTAGCTGGGCATGGTAGTGCACACGTGTAGTCCCAGCTACTTGGGGAACTGAGGCATGAGAATCCCTTGAATCCGGGAGGTGGAGGTTGCAGTGAGCCGAGATTGCACCCTTGCACTCCAGCCTGAGCAACAGAGTGAGACTCCATCTCAAAAAAAAACTAAGGGAGATTTTGAAGTTGTGTCTTTTTCCTGTGACTGGGAGGCCCTGGGAAGCTAAGAAAATTTTATTGAACATCTGCTTTGCTTCCAGGAGATAAAGTCTTCCTGATACTTCCTTCTAATTTAAGTGAGGCAGTATCCCACAATTAAAAAAATAAAATAAAATAAAAAAACAATGGTTCCTTTCTCCAAAGAGTCAGCCAGCAATGATCAAGAAAACAGCACAGTGGTGTATACTATACAGCTTTGGTACCAATGCCAACAACCCAAAGTGATAAAAAATTAAGAACAGAATTTATACAAAAATAATGCTTAAACACATGTTTTATTAAAAGCTATAGAAAAAGGGATACATTTGAAATAAAAATAGCAGTATTTTCTGCTTTAATAACCAACTGTTGACTAGTCTCGTACTTAGAAAACGGCAGGTTGTCACCTAGTGAACTACTCAAAAATCTCTCTAACTAGCAAGATAAAAAGCAGTATTTCAAGTCCACTGAACTGAAATGAACATACCATACGAACATAATGGCAGTGTACATTGCTCACATACAAAACCACATCATAAAGCCGTAGTGATTAGAAGGGCATAGTGACCAAAGCATGATCCTCTCCTCCAGAAACAGACTCAAACACACAGAAAAGTAGTATTTTTTTATATGACATTGCAAATTCATGAGGCCAGATGAATTAATCAACAAATGTTATTTTGGGAAAGTGAGGACATTGAAAAGAATGTGAACCCTACCTCACACCTTATCCCAAATAAATTGGAGACAGATTAAAGATTAAAAATTTTAAAAATAAAAATGTTTCATTTAAAACATAAAGCATTGAAAACAGCAAAATGATTTAAAATACTTTTAAAAAGTCATTTTTAAACATTTTTACAGTGGGAGAAACCCAAAAGAAAAGACTAACAAAGCCAATTACAGAAAATGAAAAGTTCAGATAATACAAACCAAACAGAAAACAAACCAAAACACCTACAATCAAAAAAATAAAGGTAAAAGGCTGGGTGTGGTGGCTCACACCTGTAATCCCAGCACTGAGGATTGGAGACTGAGGCGGGTGGATTACTTGAGACCAGGAGTTCGAGACCAGCCTAGCAAACATGGCGAAACCCTGTCTCTACCAAAAATATAAAAATTACCAAAGCATGGTGGTGGGTGCCTGTAATCCCAGCTACTCAGGAGGCGGAGGCAAGAGAATCGCTCGAGCCCGGGAGGCGGAGGTTGCAGTGAGCTGAGTTCACGTCACTGCACTCCAGCCTGGGCAACAGAGCAACACTATGTCTCAAAAAAAAAAAAAAAAAAGTTAAAGGATAGACAGGCAAAAGTTCAATGGCCTTTGAAAAAGGTAAACTGAGGGCTGCTGAAAGCCCTAAAGCAAGGAGACAAATGCAGATGTAGGTTTAGGACTCAGCATGAATGCTGTGGCTGGAGACATGGGGTATGGCAGATGCCTTTCATGAAAGCCAACAGAGACTCATCTCCCTACCTCCCAAATGGCTGTGGAGGAGTTTCCGTTCTGTGACTCTACCTCTCCTGTATGGGTGGACACGTAACCAGAGGTAAGCATCTGATCTATGAACAATCAACACAGAGATTGAGTTGAGCCATGCTCTCTACAGGGCATTCAGAAGTAAATGGGATTTCCAAGTTCAATTAGCAGAGTTGCCTGCATCTCATATTTGACACCTTTACCCTACATGCTGCTTACCTGCCCAGGATCTGAACTTCTGGATATGTATCTTTATTTCACCCCACACTCTGAGTCCTAACTTTCTACCCTCTAAAATGATTCCACCACCATCCGTGAAAGCAGAACTGATAACTACAGGCTGCGTGACTCATGTTTGGTTTTGACTTTTCGTAACCACGATCCACATTAAGAGCTTTTTCAAATAATTGTTTATAGGTTATATGAACTTCATAATTTTGAATGACACAAGTTTCTACTGAAGTGATTGGTCTGCCACTTCCACTGCCAGTGAAAGAATATTCTCTCTGTGTTCTTAAAATCATTCATTCTAAATGACACTGGGGTAAGATGACCGAAAACTAAAGGGATGACATTTTGCTTAAAAGGTAGAATTGTAAACACCAGACTGCACTCAGAAAAATGGAGATTTCTCAAAATTTAAAATCCTCAACCATGAGAAGGATAATTAACAAAATACACTTCAGAAATATGAACACTTAGAATGCACTTAGTCACTTTACGAGAACTACTGTAATCGTGCCCAAGCCTAAATGCGGATGTGAGTATAATCACTGACCAGTTGCAGCAACACTGCTGCTGAGAATGGACCTGCATCAGAAGACATGCCGAGGGACAGAGCTGGTCTCAGCACCCTTAGGTTTCAATGCATGTAAGAGCCAGTGTTCAGGCTGCAAAGGTCTGGGCATTTGTCTTTCCAGGCTAACAGAGGAGGAGACAATGAGACTCTACATCAATTTCCCAGTATATTCTGCAAAGTGATAATGAATTTCTAAAAGAAAACTAAATAAAAATATCATTTAGTTGGCTAAAGAGCTTCCAGAAGAAAGGCCTCAGACCATTTCAAAAAGAAAATGGACAACTCTCAAACACAGGGACATAGATGAGGCAGAAAAGAAGAAATATGCATACCTATAACCATGGCCTTGACAAGTCATTTTATAGAAAGGTAAGATCCAAGTCTTGAGGCACTTGCTCAAGCATTCAAATATTTCTGGGGCCAATCAAGTGCTGGCTGTGGAGATGCCACATCCTGACCCTGCAAACAGTTTAGTGGGGGACACAGGCTTTCACATATATGACTGTAGCACAGTGTGATATGTCCAATGTCAGGGGCCAGTAATGAGAACATGGGGGCAGGAAAGGAAGGAGAGAGTCCTCACACCTCAGCCAAAGTGGTTCAGGAAAACATCCCAGGAAAAGAGGTGTTTGATATGGGTGTTAAAAAATGGGCTCGCTTTCCAATCTAAAGAACTTGAAAGTATCATAGACGACACAAATGTGAAGACATCCAATGATCATGGATTGGAAGAATATCATGAAAATGATCATAATCTGATTATCCAAAGCAATCTACAGAGTCAATGCAATTCCTATCAAAAAACCATTTTTTTCACAGAAATAGAAAACTCAATCCTAAAGTTCGCATATGGAACCAAAAAGAGCCCAAATAGCCAAAGAAATCCTAAACGGAACAAATCTAGAGGCAACACATTGCCTGACTTCAAATTATACTACAAAGCAATAGTAACCAAGACAGCATGGTACTAGTATAAAAGTAGATTTATAGGCCAATGGAACAGAATAGGGAACCTAGAAATAAAGCTAAATACTTAGGACCAAGTGATCTGAAACAAAGCATTAAAAAACATAAACTGGGGAAAGGACACTCTATTTAATAAATGGTACTGGGAAACCTGGATAGCCCCATGTAGAAGAATTAAACGGGATCCTTATCTCTCATCATATACAAAAATCAACTCAAGAGGGATTAAAGACCTAAATCTAAGACATGAAACCATAAAAATCTTAGAAGAAAACCTAGGAAAAACTCTTCTGGATATTGGCCTAGGCAAACAATCTATGACTAAGACTCCAAAGCAAATGAAACAAAAACAAAAATGAATAAATGATACCTAATTAAACTAAAAAGCTTCTGCACAGCAAAAGAAACAATCATCACAGTAAAAAGCCCACAGAATGGGTGAAAATATTTGCAAACTATGCATCTGACAAAGGACTAATATCCAGAATCTGCTAGGAACTCAAACAAATCAGCAAGGATAAAAAACAAATAATCCCATTAAAAAATGGGCAAAGGACATGAACAGACATTTCTCAAAAGAAGATATACAAGTGGCCACCAAACATGAAAAAAATGCTCAACATCACTCATCATCAGGGAAATGCAAATTAAAACCACAGTGAGGGCTGGGTGCGGTGGCTCACACCTGTAATCCCAGCACCTTAGGAGGCCGAGGAGGGTGGATCACCTGAAGTCAGGAGTTCTAGACCAGCCTGGCCAACATGGAGAAACGCTGTAACAACTAAAAATACAAACATTAGCCAGGCATAGCGGCAGGGAGCTGTAATCCCAGCTACTCAGGGGGCTGAGGCAGGAGAATCACTTGAACCCAGAAGGCGGACGTTGCAGTTAGCCAAGATCGCGCCATTCCACTCCAGCCTGGGGGACAAGAATGAGACTTTGTCTCAAAAAAACAAAAACAAACAACCAAAAAAAACCACAGTAAGACACCATTTTACCCCCTCCAGAATGGTCATTATTAAAAAGTCCAGAAACAATAGATGTTGACATGGATGTGGTAAAAAAGGGAACATTTATACACTTCTGGTGGAAATGAAATTAGTACAACCTTTATGGAAAATAATATCGTGATTTCTCAAAGATCTAAAAGTTGACCTACCATTCTATCTTGCGATCCCAATACTGGGTTTCTACCGAAAGGAAAGTAAGTCATGAGATCAAAAAAGACACCTGCACACATATATTTATTGCAACACAGTTCACAATTGAAAAGACGTGGAACCAACCTAAGTGACCATAAACCAATAAGCGGATAAGGAAAATGTGATATATATATATATTTATATTTATATAATTATATTTATATTTATATATAATTATATATATGTATATATAATTATATATATTAATATACATATAAACATGATATATATACACACATATATATATGTATACCATGGAATACTACTCAACCATAAACAAGAAAAAAATAATGTCTTTTGCAGCAACTTTCATGGAACTGGAGGCCATTATTCTAAGTGACGTAACTCAGGAAAGAAAAACCAAATACCACGTGTTCTCACATACACAGAGGAGCTAAGCTATGGATATGCAAAGGCATACAGAATGTTATAATGGACACTGGAGACTCAGAAGGGAGGGTGGGAGGGGCGTGGGGGATTTTAAAAAACTACATATTGGGTACCATGTGCACAACTCAGGTGATGCATGCCCTAAAATTTCAGGCTTGACTGCTATACAATTCATCACATAACCAAAACCTACTTGTACCCCTAAAGCTATTGAAATTTGTTTAAACGAAAAAAACTTGAAAGTGATACAGTTTTAATCAACCAGTTACTGAGGATGGACATATTAGTTTATTATTGCCGCTGTCACAAATTACCACATACTTAGGGCTTGAAACAACACATATTTATCCTATCGTTTTGGAAGTCAGAAGTCTGAAATGGCTGTCACTGGGGTAAAACCAAAAAGTAAGCAGGGCTGTGTTCCTTCTGGGGGCTCTAGTTCAGAATCCATTCCCTTACTTTGTCCAGCTTCTAGAGGAAGCCCACATTCCTCACCTCATGGTGCCTTCCCACATCTTCAAAGCCAGCAACATCAGGTCAAGTCCTGCTCACACCACAACACTCAGACCTCTGCATCCCTCATCACACCTTCTCTCACTCTGACTCGCTTGCCTCCCTCTTTCATTTATAAGGACCCTTGTGAATACATTGGACCTACCTGAATAATACCAGATAATCCCCCTATCCCAAAATTTTTAACCTAATCACATCTGCAAAGCCCATTTGGTCATGTAAGGTAACATTCACAGGTGTTGGGGATTAGAATTAATACCTCTTTGGGGGATCATTATTCCACCTACCAAAGTGGGTTAGGGACCACACACCCGCCCTAAGTGCAGACGGAAGCAGCAATGGCCTAGGATGTGTAACATACATACATACATATAAACATATATACAGACATACATATATAACATATATTACACATATATACATGCACACACATATCCATTACATAGATGATATCATACATATATACAATATATACATACTATGATAGTAAATGTTTTATTTGTAAAAAAAAAAATCAAGCAGGATTATATTAGTCTCATTTCTTATACTTTGCTATGCTTTTGTGTGGGCAAAAAGCCGTATGGATCATGTACTGGGGACCACAGGTAAGTACATACAGCCATGCAGACACCCCATGCATATAAACTCCATCCAACATGTAGATTACTGCACCCCAAATAGATAGATACATATATACGTAGACAGATAAAAGAACTGCTTTTCAAGTCGGTGTTCCCCATAGTGTGGTACATATTCCATTTACTAATTCAAACTTTAAAATTCGAAAAGCAGCATACTTAACATGCATTTAAAAATATATAACCATCATGTCAGTCATGATTTCATAAATGCCACAGCTTGGAACTATTCTGCCCATAGTAGTCCCTAGCCACATGTGGCTCTTGTCAATGTAAACTGTGACTAGTCCAAACTGAGATGTGCTATAAGTGTAAAATACACACAAGATTTCATAGCATTAAAAAAAAAGAAATCTCATTTAAAATTTCTTATTGATTTGCATGTTGAAATAATAGGATACAGTGGGTTAAATAAAATGTAAAATTAATTTCTCCTGCTTCTGTAATATGGCAACTCAAAAATCTCATGTGCCTTGCATTATATTTATTTTAACAGTACTGGATTAAAACAATGCCAAAGCAGTTGTGAAGTGAAAACAAAATGAGTTGAGCTAAAGTAAATATTAGTAAAGTTAGCATAAAGGTATTACAAATATCTTGAAATTTCAAAGCTAATAACCTATGTTTGGTAACACTATACAACATCCCTGGAAAATGGAATCCAGCTTTTGAATATTTTCTGGAAAGGGTATCTTAGTACTTCCGAGGTTGTTCAATGTAGTGGTAGAGGGGGTCAAATGAAAAACATTTCTTCTTTGTATTGACTGGAAATCTGAAAAACCTTTGTACATTTCTCTCCAATGCCCTTAGTTCTGGCTTATAAAGCACAGCACAAACCTACCCACTACTATCCATAACTAGCTGGTTCTGGCCTTTTGAACCTTTAGTTTCAAGGCTCCCATGAAACCAACACAGCAGCTTTGTAACTTCACAAACTTGAAAGACCACATTGTTGGAGGAAGATTCTTACTGCAGGCCCTGGCATTCCCCATTGATGAGCTGAAATCAGTTATTATGAGGTTCTGTATACACCTTCTGATGATGGATAAAACAAATGCATATGCCTCACAGGCACAGCAGGAATTAAAAATACATTAGTTCATCGCAACTTCAGATCTGGGATTGAGGAACGTTTGGATGACTTTTTTTTCTTTTCAAATAAAGTTTAGATGAGGCAGGAATTTCACTACAGAGTAGAGTTCTGAGACTCTCCAGGTCCAGTTCAGCACTTGGAGAGAAATCAAATACATCTTATCTTAGGTATGGCACTAACTTTCATCAAAAAATTATCATATGCTCAGTCACAAATGGTTATTGTAAAATCTTTACTAACCTAAGTGCATATAAAAATTGTGAATTCCTAATACAAAGCAGTATTTGACTTTTAAATTTCATTTTAAGCTTGGCCCGTTCACTTGGAATGTGATTACAGAGTAAATTAAAAAGTAATCACATGTGAATTACATTTCCTCATGAATGTAATGACTTCAGGAGGCTGATTAATGTTAAGCAGTGCCTGTCCTACTGCATGCATACCTTCCCAGGTGAGATATGCAAGATAGCTGTCGTGAGTTGTTTAATTTTCTTTTACTGGTATTCCAGGGAGACTGCCTGAACACATAATAGGCTCAGCACATTCATTAGGACTGAGGATGTTCTTCCCTTTGGTATGCTCAAGTCCCACGTGCAAAATACCATCACCGTCAACTTATGGTTATGAGAAAAGCCCAAGGGAGGCGGTGCAGCTCTGGTACCATTTTCTACCTAGCCAAGTTTCAATTTCTCAATCTCTCTTTCTATCTTTTTGGCAAATTCTTCATATTTGAATGGAATAATTCCAGAGAATCACTGAAAAATGCATTTGCACCAGTGTAAAGGTAACGAATTGTCTCACAAGGAATGAAGGCTTATTAATAATCTACAACAGTATTACTGCAGAGAACAAAATTTAAACTAAGTGGAGCACAGGATCATTAACATATTTCCTCTCAGGTAATGGGGAATGTAGCAGTCTAAAATATTTACTCCTTTCTGTAGTCAGGTTAAGGCATTGTTTTCTAAAGGAGTTGTCAGAGGAATCACGCTATTGTTAGAAGTGGAAAAGGCTTGGTGCTTCATTATTTCTGTGCAAAAGAAGAGCAAATACAGTGGATTTAGTAGCCAGCCAAGGAAAGCCAGGTACTAAAAATTACCTTGGGACAAAAGTTGGTCTTTTATTCCTGTGATTCCCCATTCCACTGGGAGGAACAATGAACTAGTAGAGCAGCCTGAGAACATGTTACATCATAATCTAGAACATATAGACAGCTGATGTCATGAAACTGTCATACTATATGTGATGCTCTCTGACATCATCTATTATATAAAATTTTGTTTTTCTTTTTTAAGTTTGGTGAGACAGGCTAAATTGAATTCAAAATCCATCAGTGACTCATGACCATCAGTTAGAAACATTCTGGATTGGGAGCCTTTGGAATCACAGGAGTTGAGAGACTGCCAGCTCACTTCATTGTCATTTAACTGTGGGTCCTCAAAGGGGAATGTTCCAAATGTCATGTCTTCCCAGCTTTGTGTGGGTGGTGGGAAAATGAAGAGGGGTAATAGCGAGAGAATTAATGTCAGGAGAATAAGACAGAAAAGGCCTACAATTCTGTAGTTTCTCCTAAGACTGGCTTCAGGATTCCTTTGAGTTTAATATTTCTGTTATGTTTTTATCCTGAGATATTTAAATTTCCAGAACATTCAAGGTCAATGATAAGACTATTAGAAAGATTTTTATTTAAACATAAACTCAAAAGCACTCAAGGATAAAGAAGAAACCTATGAGAACTCTGAGTAGGTAACCTACAATTCTTCTGTGTTAAGGAGAGAGTAGAGAGAATTACTCTTGTGTTTCAAACTGGGGGTGTCAAACATAGGGGACTAAAAATGTGAAATATACCAGTATACAATATAACTCCATTGCCTTAACTGAGATGACAGACACTAATATTCTTTTGTTGTACTAGGGTTTTTATTCTGCATTTGTTGTACCTTATAACATTTTTAAGGCCTTTACTAACCCACTGTGTGATTCAGAAGAGGGTGATCAAGAAAGTGAGTGACCTAGAGAACACACCACGGGATAACCAATCAACATAGACAAGGTAAGACTTGGACACTAGGGATGGGATTAGGAACAGGGTGTCTCCATCCAGAGGACAGTACTGGGTCCAGGCTATAAAGGCAGAGACACTGGATTGTGGGTGCTCCCTGACGTGCTAATGAGAGTTCTGTTACCAACAGGACTGGGATAATCAATTTCCCTTCTCTGCATCCCCTTTCCACATTTTAGGGCCTGATGTTTGACAGCCATCTAATGAGCTAAATGAATTCTACGAATTCTGCTCTACCATGTTGGATTTGCTCTTGTGGATAATACTCAGCAGACCACTACAATTTCTAGTGGGTCACAATCTACTTTTGACCTCCCCCTTCTCTAGGACATATCCCTGGCATTTTCCTATACATGACCAAAATTACTTTTAGAGAATGTAATTTTGTATAAAATGGGAAAAATTAATTAAATCATTAAAATATGAAAAGGATCCTCTTCTAACAAGGTCTTTCCTCTACAGGGCATCCATGCTTTGAACTCTAGGGACAGCATTAAACTGAAGCACCAGTGTCTTTCTTCTGGAATCAGAATCCCTTTGTTGCTTTTGGGGGAAAAAAAAAAAAGGCTGTCATTGAACTTTTAATTAGGTTCCAAAAATGTGACCTGAGGCAATAATAGAATGATTTATTTTAATGCTACACTGCTCTTGATGATATTCGGTTAAAAATGGGCCAGCCTTTGAAACACCCTGACACCACACACTGGCATCTACAATGTTGAGGCTACTGATTCAGTTTTATTTCCCAAGATGTCTTTCTTTACTCCTTTGTTCAACCACCCATCCTTCTGTCCATTCATCCATTCAACAAACATCAACATTTATTGCCAGGCATTAAGGACAGACAAGCAACAAAAATAAAATGGTCCCTGTCTCCAACAGAACTTACTAAAGTTCAGCTGGGAAGACAACCACTTACCCAACTTAAAATAGAACAACGTGGGTGGAAAGTACTCAGTCCAATTTAAAGAGACCATAATATCTAAGTTTTGGTCTTTACTGCTCCCTCTAGCCTGGGTTTTATGTTTGGTTTAGCCATTTAACCACCACTATGTATAACAACACGTATGTTCCACTGCTGATTTTACCAACAGAGGCCAGTCTCACGGTGGGAAACGTGGCTCCCAATGGTATCTTATATACCAAATGATCGTCTATGGTAGATTTCAATCATCATTCTAAATTCTACATTGTGGGTTTGTATTTCTGAGTGCCAATACAAACCACAATACTATCTATTTTTTAAGAGATGGGGTCTCACTATACTGCCCAGGCTGGCCTTGAACTCCTAGGCTCAAGTGATCCTCCCACTTCAGCCTCCCAAGTAGAATATCTTAAAGTCCAGGGCCATTCAGAGGAAGAGAGATGCTACACTGGGTAGATAATCAGAAGAAAAGAATCATTTAACAACCACCCTACCCCCCAAAAAACCCTTTCTCTCTGCAAAATGGAAGGGCCATCTAGAAAGAAACAGAATCATTCATACATATTTATTTTAAAACCAATAATTAACCACCTATTGCAGTACTGAAGTTCATGGCCTACATGGGATTTATTATACTGATTAGTCCACTTCTGTGTATATTTAACCTATCTCATAACTTTTTTTAAACAGTCAATACTAATAAATAGCTGAGTTCATCTAAAATATATTGGATCTAAGACTACCCAAATTTTCCTCAAACATCCTAACTAGACCCCAGTTAAACTTCTTTTGGAGTCTCAGGGAGAAAAAAAAAAAAATAGAATGCTTTAGAAATTCTTGATTGAATTTTGTTACATTAGCTCAGCATAAGCATTACAGCCACCAAAACCACTCTTACCAGTAAGTTCTCCATAGCAAGAGATGGCTGCCTGTCCCAGGATTGCCCACATATGTCTTCTTAGGATACTCCAGGAACAAAGAGGAGAAAAATAATCTTGGAAATTCTGTAGACTGTTTTGACTTTTTAACCCATTCATTCAATCCATAAAAATGAACAAAGTGCTATAATGTTACAGTGGAAAGAGCATCTTTTCAGAGGAAGATAGCTGGAATTTTAGTCAAGACTTCGTCACTAATTATCATTGTGCCTTTAAAGCATATCACTTCACTTTTCTGGACCACATTTACTTACAAGAAAAATGAGGAAGTTGGACCAATGACCTAGTAGCACTCGTTTCTGATTCTCAGTCTGAAGTCAATGGATGCTATTAACATGGAAGTATTTTGAAGCTGCATTTCCTGCAGGGGCAAAGCAATGCTTCCTCCACATTTTCCTGACTCCTTTCAAGTTCTCCTAGAGAGCTCCTAAGACAATTCATAAAGAGAAAGGGGGTACTGCTGCCCAAGCACACATCCTTTGTCACGGTGTGTGGTCAGGCACTAGTTGGCATTAATTTACTTGTTCACAGTTGTACATGAGACATTATTGGTAGAGTAGTTATGGTTGCCTGATTGTGGATGTGTAACTAATTCTGGAAAAGGATGCTATAAAGTTACAATCCAAACAATCTCAGCAGGTGTCACTGTAGTCAGGAGAACATATCTTCACAAATACTCATTATTTATTTATCCTTAAGTAAGAGAAGGTCCCTACCAGCCAGCCTAAAAGTACTGAGCTCTGTTTCCCATCATAAGGCCAAGAATCATCAACTTTGTAAGATCAAAAGGGGGTTTTATGTATGCTCTGTCTTCGTGCAGGTCTAAGTGGAGCCATGACAACCTGAGGCACATTTGTAGATATTTTTTCAAGGTTATAGGCAGAATGGCACTCCATAGCATCAGTCAGAAAGCTACTCCCATGCCCTACTTTGTCTATGACCTCAGCTTTATCTACTTTTATTTATGAGTGTGGAGCTTAGGATTTCAGTGACAGAATAATTTGTTTGACACATTACAGTTAAAAAAAAAACCCCAATAGAAGTACATAGACATACACACACACGTGTCTGTAAAATTGGTAAAATCTGACTAAACTCTGTGGATTGTACCAATGTTAATTTTCTAGTTCTTACATGAGACTATAGTTACTACAGTTAAGCAAGATGCTAACTATAGAGAGTTTGCATGAAGTGTGTGTGAGTCTTTGCATTTTTGCAACTCCTGTGAATGTTGAATTATTTCAAAACACAAAGTTAAAAAAAAATGACAACCACCAAATAATTAAGAAACCTATACCTTCAAAAGCAAGATTTAAAAAGTAATTGTAAAAGTTCAGGAATAGTGTAATGACACGGTTCATCATCAGTGAACACCTCTCCTTCAAAAAATATTTGTATGATAATAAATATCCCTCAACAAAGGCATGTAAGTCACCAGTATTCATTCCCAGGAAATAAGGACTGTCTCTTTCAAAAATATTTAGAGGACCTGAGATGACCCTTTTCCCCTAGGTCACACCAAGAGTTTTTATCACTGAAAGCTCCTTTTTGCAATTCATAGTTTTGACAAAAAAGATTTTAGTGATGTGTCTGTGTCTCCAGATGCACTGCTCTGTGCAACTATATAATAACTATTACCTGGTCAACCTATGTCAGCCCATTGGAACTGATCTTTAAGAACACAAAAACATATATGTACACACTGGTATGAACAGCAAATCATTCTTAAAATATTTGATTTAGAAAAAAATGCAAGAGAGATGATAGTTAATATCCACAAAAGGCAACACAATTTCACAAATAGACAAGAAGGGGACAAAGAAAAACTAAAAGAAAAAAATGGGGGCAAAGACAGGAACAGGAAGACAAACTTCGCATGTTCTCACTTATTAGTGGGAGCTAAAAATCAGAACAATTGAACTTGTGAAGACAGAGTAGAAGGATGGTTAACAGAGGCTGGGAAGGGTCATGGGGAGGGGGGTGAATAGTTAGTGAGTATAAAAAATAGAAAGAATGAAGAATAAGAGCTAGTGTTTGATAGCACAACAAGGTGATTATAGTAAATAATTTAATTGTACATTTTAAAATAAAAGAGTATAATTGGATTGCTTCTAACACAAAGGAAAAATGCTTAGGGAGATGGATACTGCATTTACATTGGTGGGATTATTACTCATTGCATGCCTGTATCAAAATAGCTCATGTACTCCATTAATATATATACCTACTATGTACCCGTGAAAATGAGAAATTAAAAAATGGGCAAATATATGGAGAGGTATTTTATTTATTTTATTATTTTATTTGAGACAAGGTCTCAGTCTGTCACCCAGGCTGGAGTACAGTAGCGTGATNTCAGCTCACCTCAGCCTCCACCCCCTGGGCTCAAGCGATCCTCCCACCTCAGCCTTCTGAGTAGCTGGGATTACAAGCACGCATCACCATGCCCAGCTAATATTCTGGTTTTTTTTTTTTTGTTTTGTTTTTTTAGTAGAGATGGAGTTTCACCATGTTGCCCGGACTGGTCTTGAACTCCCGGGCTCAAGCAATCTTCCTGCCTCGGCCTCCCAAAGTGCTGGGATTACAGGGGTGAGCCACCCTTCCCAGCCTGAAAAGGTATTTTTAAGGTGGGACAATATAAAAAGCCAATAAAAATGAAAAGATGCTCAAATTTAATAGAAGTCAGAAAATGTTAGAGAAAACAATGAGATGTCATTTAGACCTAATGCACTAATACAAATGAAAATAAGGGGAAATACCTGCTCTGGATTTAGATAAATGGATATTCTGATACATGGTAGATTAAAATATCACTTTTAAGGCTTTATGAAATGTAATGTAACAATACCTATCAATATTTAAAAAGTACATTTTCTTAAATCTAGTACTTTCATGGCTGACAATCTATCCCATTAAAAGTAGGTTATTAGTGAGACCCCATTTCTACCAAAAAAAACAAAAAAATCTGGCCAGGCATGGTGGCATGCACCAGTAGTGTCAGCTACTCAGGAGGCTGAGGTGGGAAGATAGCTTGAGCCTGGGAGGCAGAGGTTACAGCGAGCCAATATCGCGCCACTGCTCTCCAGCTTGGGTGACAATGAGACCCTGCCTCAAAAAAAAAAAAAAAATTATATGAGCTTTTTGTACAGTGATAAGACAAAACAAAACCACACAAAGGCTGGATCCCACCAGCAGAAAATGTTTTAAAATTATGTTACCGCCACTGGACATAATGAATTAGATTTATACAGTAGCCTTGAAGGGATTTCCTCAAAGAATTATTGAAAGATAAAAGAATGAGTAATATTCCATTTTTGTAAAACAATGACTGAAAAATCTCTCCAGATATGTATATATAAATACACGTATGTATTAACATATTAGCAGGTTGACAAATACACAAGTATAATCATAGGTCAGAACGTCCCAAATTCTGCATCTTGGCACAAGTATAAGATAATAACTTTTATCTAACACTGGGGTGGAAAGATAAAGGTTGTTCATCACCAGAAATGATGAGCCAAAGGATAGAGCCACCTAAAAAGCAGTATTTGAGCAAAGGAGTTGGGGAGTTCAAAAGGAAGTTGTTGCCTGAGGAGGATTCTGGGAGCACTCCAGGAAGAGGGAGGATAGAGCATGGTGGATGAGGTGGGTCATGTGTACGGGAATGGGATAGTACCGAGTGAAAACATGGGAACAAAATGACGCAAAGTTCAGAAATACACATACATACATTTACATATATGAATACGTATGTGTATTCTTGAATTTCATGGTCATATTTATGCATTTTTGGTGAAATTGTGTTTTTAAAACTTACTTTATGTCTTAAAAATAACACTTAAGGCTGGGCGCGGTGGCTCACGCCTGTAATCCCAGCATTTTGGGAGGCCGAGGGGGGCAGATCATGAGGTCAGGTGATTGAGACCATCCTGGCTAACACGGTGAAACCCCGTCTCTACTAAAAATACAAAAATAAAAAAAAATAAAAAAATAAAAAAATTAGCCGGGCGTGGTTGCAGGCACCTATAGTCCCAGCTACTGGGAAGGCTGAGGCAGGAGAATGGCGTGAACCCGGGAGGCGGAGCTTGCAGTGAGCCGAGATTGAGCCACTGCACTCCAGCCTGGGCGACACAGCGAGACTCCGTCTCAAAAAAAAAAAAAAATAAATAATAATAATAATAATAATAATTATAACACTTAAAAATGAGCCCAGGTAGATGATCTTCCAGTAATTTCTCCCTTGATTTTCTTGTTCTTGCTGCTATTAAAATCAAGAGGGCACCATATTTCTCCCTTTGCTCTTCTAAGATCCAGTACTTATGATAAGAAAACCATAGTCCAACACACCCTATGTAAGTTATTCTGTGTATCTGAGCTTCAGATGTAAAGGAGCTCTTTCAGACTTCAGGGTTATGAGAGTTTCTGAATAGCCACCTGGCAAATCTGGGTAGATGTTGACTTTCCCAGCAGGCCACGATTTATTGCCAAAAGCACAATTTTTTTCTTTTGTTTTGACTTAACATGCCAGAAAAAAAACACAAGACTATAAGAATTAAACCTAATGCATCACAGCTAAGCTCTCTAAGGCATGAAAGAGGCAAGGGCTGCACCAAAACGAATTTATCAATCACGGAATGCAGGACCCCTTGTATGATTAGCTTAATTATTTAAAGAATGCAAAAGAGGTGGACGGTTCTACCATTAAATTATCCTGTTTAAAGAAAATGCCAACTCGGTAAGCATTTCTAAGTGGACAGGCTATTTCAATAGAGTACATTGCTGAATGTGTGTGTGTGTAATAATAAAAGAGGCTGCCCTTTAAAAATCCCCACACCACGTACTTTTATTAATTTAATTTGGTGTCCACTGTACTTTTTAGTTCGCTCCAGTTGCAATTACTATTCTAGTTTAATTTCACATATATTTGCATTGTTTCATGGAAACCCTTACCTCGGTAAAGAGTAAAAATAGATACCTCCCACTAGACCCACCTCAAAAGGATATATGTGTGTGAAAACATACATACACAACTAAGTGGGATGAAAGTGATCTTTAGAGATATGGGATAAAGGAAAAACCATTTGAAAAAAGTCTCAGAACACTCCTAGGAAGACCATATGTACTTCCTCATCCAGCAAAGTGCTATTTCAAATGTGTTAAATAAGTAGGGAGTGTGTCAGTGTGCGTGTGTGTGTGTGTGTCTCTGTACCAATAAACATCCAGAAAAAAAGAGGGGAAAAAGTCAATATAAAAATTTAGAAATTAGAATATTTACTTTTAGTTAAGAAAATTTCTAGAAAGTTTTATTTTGATATACAAAATATAAGACAGCCATCTCAACAATCGTGTCCAGTCATTCAGCAATCAGCCACCACTGACAACCTACACCTTTCCTTCCTTTCAATAATGGCCTTCCAACAGACCTCGAAAGGCTTCTATATGGGTCACTTTTCTTACTATATCTGTATTTTTTTTCCAAACCTAATCCTGTTTGTTCTGAATTATACTGAGTTTCTGATAAACTTTAAAATGTTTTTCTTAGATCCAGCTGCACTAAGAGTATAAAGCGAATTTAGAATCACCACCCCACAGTCCCCCCGCCGACAAATCATACTATTTAATATGGCGGTGATGAGAACAACGTATGTGACTACCGTGACACTCAATAAAAATGCTATGATTTGCTTTTTAAAAAGTCAGAAACCTATAGAATTCGTATGTGAGTTCCACTCATTGTTTCTATAAAAAGGTCATTCTGATATGTTTTAGGGCATTGTCATGAGAATGTGTGAAAAATCTATAGGCTTACAAAACATGAAAACTCAAGATACTGGTTGGTAAGGACATGGTAGGGGTAATGTATTCTTAGAAGAGAGGCTGCATCATTTCTGCAGATAAATTTGAAATTTTCTTCATGCAATTTGGAATGTAATCTCTTACTAGATTAAATTTTACAGCTCAGGAAGGTGAGGAGCTGGTAAGAGCAAACTGCATGAGACAAGAGTATAGATATCCAACAAACAATGAGGCAACCAACCTGATTCACTTAGTACTTGACAGCAATGCTTTTATTAGAAACACTTTACTTATGACCTATTACCAGTGGTTCCTCTACTATTGGGATACATTTAAATCTGTCATTTTAAATGTGTTTACACTTTTTCTGTGTACAAGAACTGCTGACAAAGGCAAGCGTGATATGTCATACTGATGACGTGTTAAGCTGAGGAAATTTCCACTGCCACAGGCAACACTTTAACCTTATGAAACATTTTAATCACATTTTTATTGAAGAAGCTTATTAAAAGATGCAGGCTTTCAGAACTCGACAAATTTTCTTGATCCTTTGCCAAATCAGAGGTAGGCAAAGTGTACTCTGAAATCACCTCCCCCCAAATTGTAAATTCATTTTCTGAAATTAGATATTGACATTTAAGCATCATATAAAAGTCAAACTTTTCTAGGATGGCTGAGAAGTTGAAAATCCTAAATGCCCACATTATGAGAAAAGAAGTTAAGGCAAAGGCCAATATGGTGAGTAATTTTAAATTTACACTTAGCATTTAGCCCCTTTTCTGCATTAGTCCCATGTTAGGAACCAACTCATTCTTTCATATCCAACATATGTATTTTCAGTATTTGCTAAGAAATAATCCTCATTTCAAAGCATTGGTTATTATTTTCTACAAAAGCTTGGTTTCTCAATAGTATAATTCTGTGTTTGCAGACTATAAAAGTATAGCTCTGAGAATATGAAAGAAAATAATCACCAGGACAGGCAATCGATTTCTGTGTGGGCAAAAATTTTAGACCTTTTTTGTAGGTGAATGACATCAGAGAGCCATTTAGCTCTAAGTTTCCATGACTACCTGTAAAATGGAGATATCATTCATTCACTCATTCATTTGATAAATATCAAGAGAACATCCACAATATTTCAGGTACAGAACTAGGTGGCATTGGGGTGACAGAGAACACACTGGTTTTGCCTTTAAGGACATTTATAGTCTACTTGCTTTCTGTCCACTTCGACTCAGACATAAAGAATATTTATCAAATATACCGGAAGTCCCAGAATAAGGGTACTCTAAATACATCATTCAAATTTCAAAATAGAACCTAAAAAACAAATGCCAAAACATTTACCCAATGTATTCAGGCCTTATGAACCTAGTGATTAACATATTTTTAATATGTTATTTCAGCTATACTGTAACTATATGGTGAAACACAACAAACCAAACTACTTGGTTTATTTAGTTTAGTATAAAGCCACATTTAGTAGTATTCCAACTCAGTGCTCTTCGGCAAGTATGTGCACAGCTATATTACGTCTAGGCACTGTAACAGTGGCTAGGGAGATGATGACATGATGACATGATGATCTGTTAGAACCCTGTGACCTTAAGAAGCTTATGGTCCAGAAAGACATACAAATGTGTCATTCACTATGTGATACTCCTCTCAATCTCTTCCTCTCACCATCTCACCATCTTTCTTACATTCCTACTCCTGATTTGGTCCAGACAATCCACCCATCTTCCAGAGCCAAGAACTCTGTTGAGCCAATAGTAAAAATCTCATTCCCTCTGCAAAGGATTTGTTTGTTTAGGAAAGTTGTGTGACCCAGTTTCAGCCAACAAGGAAAGTGAGTGAAAAACCATTCAATAGGGCTTTTGAAAAAGACATGGAACCAATCTAAATGCCCATCAATGATGAACTGGATCAAGAAAATGTGGTACATATACACCATGGAATAGTACACAGCCATAAAAAGGAATGAGATCATGTCATTTGCAGGGACATGGATGAAGCTGGAAGCCATCATCCTCAGCAAACTAACACAGGAACAGAACACCAAATACCGCATGTTCTCACTCATAAGGGGGAGTTGAACAATGAGAACACAAGGACACAGGGAGGGGAACAACACACAACAGGGCCTGTTGGGGGTGGAGGGTGTGTGGGGAGGGAACCTAGAGGATGGGTCAATAGGTGCAGCAAACCACCATGGCACACGTATACCTATGTAACAAACCTGCACGTTCTGCGCATGTATCCCAGAACTTAAAATAAAAAATTAAGTATCAATCCAAAAAACACAAAAACAAAAACCAAAAAAAAGTTTCTTCACTCTTTCCAAAAAGAGGTAAAAGATAAACCCAAGTGAATGGAGAATTTGGTATATGATAAATATGCTATCCTTAAATCACTGGGGAGAAGATGGAGTTTTGATATGAACTGTTGGGATAAGTGGATAGTCACATGAAGAAAGGTAAAATCAGATCCATTCCTTAGACTTTAAACCAGGATAAATTCCAAATGGATCAACTATTTAACTATGAAAACTAAAATTAAGGACTAGAAAAAAACATGGTAATATGTCATCTCAATAACCTAGGAATGGGGAAAACTTTTCTAACAATTATTTAAAATCCCAAAGTAATAAGGAAAAACATGGATACCAGTGATTACATAAAAGATTCCAGAAACAAATTGGGAGAACACATTGGTAAGCTTCACTAGAGATAAAAATCCCCAATATACACCAGGGCTGCAAAATCAGGAAAAAAACAGCCCAAAATCACACTGAAAAATGAGTGAGAAATATGAACTGATTAGCTCATAAATAAATGCAAATGGGCCTTAAACATAAGAAAATACACTGGACTGTGCTGTTAATATGACAAATGCAATCGAAAACAATACTAATATAACATTCCTCACCTATCTGACAGGAAAGTCTTAAAGTTCAACAATATAGTATGTTGGCCAGACTTAGGGAACTAGGAATTCTTATATAGTTGTGGTATAAATACAAAGAGACATATGCAAACCCTATGGATAAGTGTTCATCAATACCTAGCAAAATTACATATGTATTTATCCTTTGACACAGAATTGCACTTCTGGGAGTCTATCCAAAAGACACACTAGCAAAGATAAAATATATGTTTGCACAAAGCAATTCACTGCAGCATTATTTAAAATAACAAGAGATTGAAAATAAAAATGTTTATAAATAGGGGATGGAGTGAGAAAAAAACATGGTACATCCCCCATGATGGAGTACTATAAAACCGTAAAAAAAAAAAAAAAAAAAGAAGAGGAGGAAGAGGAAAAAGAAGAAAAGAAATCATTCTAGAAAGTGCAACTAAATGCTCTCCAGGCTATTTTTCTAAAGAACGAAAGAAAGTTGAAGAAAAATGTATAGAGTATATATAACTTTTCAAAGAAAGGATGGAACACAAATATAAATGTATTTATATACATACATGTATGTATATCCACATACAAACACATATATGCAACCTTATGTATATATTGTATTTGTATTTAATAAACAGAGTAAGTATTAAAAATTTGGGGGAGGAAGAAACAGAGTATAAGGGAGATATAGAAGTTATACTACTTTGAACATACTGGTTTTATAGATTGATTCTGAAATCATAAATATTCTACATAATTATAATGCAAAATTAAATCTAAAAAAGCAATCTCTATAAATTGAAAGTAAAATAAACCTAATTTCATATCCAGTTGCTATCATAAGCACTCACAGAGGTGCTATTTCTAGCGATTTTATTTAAGATACATAACAATTTAAAGGAAAACTCTAAACTGCTCATGGTAATTAAATTATTTGTAGTAGGACTGGTATCGATATTCTGAGACTCTTGTGCATGTACTGTGAATAAATCAAAGAATTATGATGGTATCATTAAGTGCTGAGGTTTTGTTGGGGAAGGAGAGTATGGTTGAAATGAAATAAGGATGTGAGATCAATGGGGTAAGGCATTCTGACTGGGGAAAACCACTCTCCCAAAGATGAGCCTACAAGTTGCCTTAGCTGGTTCTCCAGGCTTCTGTTTCTAAAGTTATTGTCATGACATCTTTTTAATGTTCGCTTTTCATATGATGAGGCCAATATATACATATTAAAGTACATTTACATGCATATACACACGTAAACTTATTTGGATAGCATGTTCTCATGCATCGATCACATTTCTGATTTGAGATAATAGTACACTAGGTTAAATTCTTCCTAATTGACTGTGGCCAAGTCTGCTCACGCCCAGCATCGGACCTCACATTCTTTCCTACCTACTTGTTTTAAGCTGCTGGCTCCTTGCAGTCACTTGGCAGAAAACACTTCTCCTCAAACTTGCATTGTATTTCTAGCTTTCACTCATCAATATGAATTTTAAGGCTCCCAGTGAAAACCAATTTAAGGTATGGAGCCTGTTTAAAACAAGGACTGGCTCCAGTCACACCCTTATTTTCAGAAAATAAGCCTCTGAGGCACTCCCAACATAGGGACATGCAGCCAGGACGCCAAGTGGTATGCTTTGGTAGAAAGAATTAAAAACAACTTAGTATAAAAACGTTAGGGTATTTGTTGGATTTAAAAAGTTTAGCTAATGTACATGACAGCAGACCTCAAAGCACCAGAAGACTCCCTTGTCTGTAATAGAGCTTCAGATAGAACACACCTCTTGAAATAATACTAATATCTATTTTGGGATAATATAAGGTATTTTCTCCAAAACACATATCTCTTTCACATAACGGGAGACATATAAGTAAACAGAAATATCTCTGAAGACAACTAAGTGTTGTTTAAGCACTAAAATAACAATCTAATGAATTAGTAAGATAAGAAAAAATCTATGGGGAGAGGAATATTATTTAGTTTGGGAAAATAAATATGGTTTGCAAGGCATATGAAATATCACTGGGACAGAGGACAGGAAATAATACTGGGCCTGGGACAGGATATGAGAAAAACAAGATGAAATGGAAGATGTGAGAATTCAGAATAGACAAAGAAAAAGGACATGGCGGAGCAATCCTGGGCGCTAATGATTTTCTAAGAAACCAGCAAATCCGGGTTTGTTCCTGAGGATGTTCCAAGTGGAGCAGCTGTCTATCTCAGGGATTTTGCTAACTCCAGAAGCCATCAGCCTAGTGCCCAGTGAATGTTTAATACTGAGATGCTTTCATGCCACCTGAAAGAAAAGCAAGAGAGGGATCTGTGTCCCTCTCAAAGTACCTAGTACTTTATGGTAGCTTCATTGGTTTATTGCGTTGATTATTCAAGATTCCTTGGCTGACGATGACAAGAACACAAATCAAACTAGCCTCAACTAGAAAGAGAATTAATTGGCTTATATAACTAGGTATTCCAATGATAGAGAGAACATGAGACAAATCTGGATCAAGGCACATACCCTTTCTTGCTCTCTCTCCCCCCATCTGCTTCTTTCCGTCTCCCAATTCTGTTTGTCTCTGATCAGCTTTTGGCCTCATATTCTTCTTCCATGAGCAGACTCTGAAATCCCAAACCCACAGCTTTTTTGTGTCAAGTCGTCTCTCTACATAGATCAGATTTCACCGAAGCAATCTTACTGACAGCTACATGGGAGATGCTTCAGCTTCCTGGAACAATCGCTGGGGCATATTCCTGTGATTCAGACATTGGACAGACCCAAGTCAAGCTCCCACAGGCCACTACACTGGCCATTTCCACCACAACCATACAGGATGGGGAAGGAGCAGTTTTCCAATGAATCCCAACAACAGATTTTTCCCACTATCCTTCCAATAAGACTATTTTTCCTCCAAGGGCATGGCCTCTCAAATATTTTTGGCCTTCTCCACACTTTACCATAACATCTCCTAAATATATGCCCCATAATTAAACAGATGGAAACCAGAATTTTTATTGTAGACATCATCAGTGAATTATTTTCACAGATTGCAAATACATTCCTTCAATATTCCATTACCTGATTGTGATCACCTAATTAGCAGATGAAAACTATTCAGAGTATCAGGAGCATAAGAGGAACAAGGACATGTCAATTTGAAAATGATATCCTTAGAAAGCATGCCTATCTACATCTCCTATCTCTAAGTCATAAATGGAAAGCATTTAACATACTTACTGAAGATTTTTATATGTGAAAAATGGGATGGTTCAGGTAGCCTACAGATCCTGCAACCGTGGTGTGTGGAACATAGGTGTCATGCAGAATAATCTCATGTAATAAGAGGTTCAGAGGGTGGTCGTGACTAGCGCAATGGGAAGCTAAGTAGATACGATTCCAGGCCCTACCCTCACTACAAACAGAAGGTCCAAGATTTCATCCTCTTTCTTATTTGAGAGTTTCATATTTTTCATTTTTTTGAAAAAGCAATTGTACTGCCAAACTAAAAAACTTACAAACAAGCAACAAATTGTATTAGTCTAATCACCTCATTATACTAAAGATGAAATAGTTTCTAAATACAGATCCTAAACTTGCTGTCATTTAAATTTCAACACAGCTATCCTTTTACTTCACCAGGCTGCCTTTCTTAATTTGATTTTACAAAGGAAAGCTTTTTAAAAAAAACTAAAACTAAAAAAGCATAGTATTCTATGCTTGAGTTCTTAGACTACACATAAATATTTAGGCCGTGCTTATCAGAATTTTAGAATTCTGAAGAGCCTCCCTGAACTGTCAAAACCTCTAAAAGCCACACCATGCTGGTGAGGCGACAGAGTAAAGGGAACACTTACATACTGCTGGTAGGAATGTAAATTAGTTCACTCACTGTGGAAAGCAGTGTGGAAATTTCTCAAAGATCTTAATAACAGAATTACCATTTAAACCAGCAATCCCACTACTGGGTATATAACCAAAGGAAAATAAATCTTTCTGCCAAAAAGACATGTACACTCCTATGTTCATTGCAGTACTATTCACAATAGCAAAGACACGGAATCAACCAAGATGCCCATCAACAGTGAACTGGATAAAGAAAATGTGGTACATATATACCACAGAATACTATGCAGCTGTAAAAAAAAGAATGAAATTATGTCCTTTGCAGCAACGTGGATGCAGCTGGAGGCCATTATCCTAAGCAAACTAACACAGGAACAGGAAACCAAATACAACACCCTCTCACTTATAAGTGGGAGCTAAACATTGAATACATATAGACACAAAGATGGGAACAAGAGACACTGAGGACTGCTTGAGGAGGGAGATGAGGAGGGGCACATGGATTCAAAGCCTGCCAATCATGTACGATACTCACTACCTGGGTGACAGGATCATTCATCCACCAAGCTTCAGCGACACTCAGTTTACCCGTGTAACAAGCCTGGATGCACACCCCTGGAATCTAAAATAAAATAAGATAAAAGTAATTCATTCAATTAAAAAAAATAGGCTGGGCCTGGTGGCTCACAGCTGTAATCCCAGCACGTTGGGAGGCCAAGGCAAGTGGATCATGAGGTCAGGACTTCGAGACCAGCCTGGCCAATATGGTGAAACTAAAAATACAAAAACTAGCTAGGCATGGTGGTGCACACCTGTAATCCCAGCTACTAGGGAGGCTGAGGCAGGAGAATCACTTGAACCTGAGAGGCAGAGGTCACAGTGAGCAGAGATCACGCCTGTAATCCCAGCTACTAGGGAGGCTAAGGCAGGAGAATCACTTGAACCTGGGAGGCGGAGTTTGCAGTGAGCCAAGATCGCGCCACTGCAGTCCAGCCTGGGTGACAGAGTGGTACTCCATCTCAAAAAATAAAATAAAATAAAATAAAATGGCACAGAAGCATCAAATGTGGATAGAAGAAATATCTACCTATGCCTCTGTTGAAATATCAATGAGTCTGTCTAATAAATGCCTGCAATAGGCTACTTAATTAAAATGAATAGCTTTAGCAATCACCTTGGTTGACAACATTCAGAATGAAGAGCAAATAATAGTTAACACTTATTCTACATAATTACTCTTCCCTTCCGTACACAAAACATGTACAGAGCCTGGGCTTGGTAACACGAAATTTCCAATAATCTATGAGAGAACACTTAAAGACTTTACACTTAAGAAGAATAATTTTTGGATTAATTTTGAATCTATTTTCCAAAAGTAAATGACTTTTTAAAGGCCTAGTCAGTTACCATGATAAATAAAGACATACACTCCAAGTATTTGGCACATGTAATTACAGTAAAATGAACACACCCCATATCAAGCACATCTTTGTAGGTCAAGATGGCAATAAGAAAGTATTTTTCACTCTGGTCCACAGTGATCAAAGGGGGATCAACACTGAAACTGTATTTCAGAATGCCAGCCAAAAGCTTTGACCATGAAAGAGAAGCAGTGCTGGCCAGTTGCCCACAAGACTGCATACTACATTAGGTTTTAATACATTTCAAAAACAGAGAATTTATATAGAAACTGTGACAATTTGAAGAAGTTTGCTGGGATAATCTTAGAAGACTGATCTAAAGACAGTCTAGGACAGCTGCATGCAATTCTAAGAGTCAGATCTGTTTGTTTGTTTCCGAGATAAGCGTCAAATACTAATACAGATAAGAGCTAAAACTAAAATACCAATTCAGTGAAAAAGCTAAAACCCAGAAGACGTTTTATTTCATTACCTGTCTGAAGTTATTTTTAACAGTGACAGGTCATGTTCTATTTCTTCACTGGGGTAAGAGAGAATATTTGAATGTCCCAAATATATTAAAGTTATAGGCAAAAATGCTCACAAACCATTTAGAAAATGATTCATTTTACTGTCTACCTAATACTGAGCTGAAATACTCTACTCTAAGCTGACTGCTTAGAGTATGTTTACTATCTGCTAATCCTATAGCTCGCACTTAAACAAGGCTGGTTGGATAGATAATCCAGACAAATGCAGGGTTCCATAACAGAGCATTTTTAAATGTCTTAGGCTATCACCTAAGCCACAAACAAAATTGATTTTTCCAGACATGTTCCAGTGTCTGCTTACCCTTTCCTGCTACCAACTGTCATCTCACTCCCCTGATAAAACTCTTGACATGTTTTGCAGTATCCTCTACTCCCTTCCCATTCCAAACAGCTGTCTTCCCTTCCTGGCAGAAACTCCCTGACATCTGGATACTCAGGATGGCTACTGTTATGATGGACAGATTCCATTTTATCCAACTACCCAGCTCCGAGAATATAAAAATGAGCAAAAGGAGGAGAAGTGTGATAGTTTCACCAGCTACACAAATACTAGTTCAAGTAATGGCTATATTAAAGCATTAGCATGTTGAATAATTTTCTTTTAAAAGTCCAATTTTGTGACATCTGTAAAATGATACAGAATGTTAAAATGCGATGATTCTGAAAGAATACACAATTACAAGCTTCCTAAATTTCTACTCAGGTAATGACAACAAATCCAAGCCCATAGCTCAAACATAGGATTTCTGCTTCATGGCCTAATTTGATGTTTTTTTACTAGATTTAAGAACAAAAACATGTGTGTTAGATGAAGACAGATGAGTCGAAGAAAAGACAAAACATGAGTCACTTTCCTTGAGCTCATCGCCCATATCCCATCAATCACCAGTTCCACTTTGTGCTGCTTCCTAAATATGTATCATCTCTTGCATATTCTGCTACACTGGTTTCTTAAACTGTTTTCCTATATCCATTCTCCCACTACTTCAGTCTATTCTCCATAAGCAGCCAGTGATATTTTATTGAAGTGCAAATTGGGTCATATCACCCTAACACCCCCTTTCTAAATCCAATCAGTGGTCCCCCTTCCTTGTAGAATAAAACCTACGCTAGTCCACATGGACCCTAAAGCTTTGCATAACTCTGGTCCCAGCTTCTCTCTGGCTTCATCAGGAGCCTGTCTTCCCCTCACTCAACATATTCAAACCACACTGGCCTTCCCTCCATTATCCAAATGCATCAAATTTCTCCCATTCCTAAGGTCTGCTTTAGCACTTTTCTCTTTGCCTGGCTCCCTCCTGCCCATGGTTCAGATCTCAATTTATATGTCACTTCCTCAAGGAATTACTCTGCAATCAACTGCAATATGTTATGTATCCTTTTATATCTCTCATGGGATCATGGAATTTTTCTTAGCAGCACTTTTAACAACTGTATTTAATTAACATATTAAGTCAGACATTAAAGAGATTTGCAAAACTATAAAGCAATGCCATTCTCAATTTTTGGTTTTGAAAAATTGTTAATTCTTGTTTAAAAATGTTATCTTAATGTGCAAAATGTTTATTATTGTTTTAAAGTATTATTTTAAAAAAATTTTAATTTCTAATATGGCAAATATCAATAGATTTAACAACATAAACAAAACTTCTTTCGGTCGTCAATCTTTTTTAGGAGTATAAAGGGATTCTGAGATCGAAAAGTTTAAGAACCACTGAATAAGAAATTAAACTATGGCTTGTGAAAGAATGAGATACTACATTTTAAATCCTTTAGGAATACTTAAAATTGTAGTTAAATATATTTTATGTAGGAAACAAAGCTTTCAAGTAATGTTGCTACCTTAGAAAGAAAATGCTTAATTCTTATATACTGCTAAGAGAATTATAACAGGATTGTACAGCTAGGTCATAAGCAATGTGTCAATTATAAAACAGTTGATAAGAAAGTTCAACTTGCCATGACAAACATAGTTTACAGCTTTAAATGAACAATTTTTTCTTTGAAAGCATTCTAACAAATGTTATCTTTAATAACAAACACATATGGCCTTTAAACTTTCAAGGCAAAGATTCTTGAAAATCATAATTAAAACAAACCTTTCGATCTTACAGAAAAGTTCTTAACAGAAGACTAACAATTTTGCAATGACAAGATGGTGAATATGTGCTCAATACTAATTACAGTCATGATGACTGTGATATCAACAAACCCATATATGGTACTTTTCTAAGAGCTTAGAAATCAGCCTTAGTTACTATTATTATTAGCCCAAGGATATGTAACTTACCCTGCATCTGACAGCTAAGTAAGTGACATAAATGAGGTTTGAATCCAGGGTCTGAGCTCTTAACTCTATACTGCCTACATACATACATACATACATACATATATACATACATATATAAATTAACCTTTCTTATCCTGCTTCTAAACAAAGGTAAGGGCCACCCAGTCAATGCTTTGTATTCTTCCAATATTCTTTCCTAGAACTTCTTCAAAGGCTCTCATGAAGCACTGGTGAAACTGGAAATCACTGAATTTTACTACCATTTTAACCAAGGCTGAATCAAATAATTTAGAAGTTAATATTGTTTATTTACCCAGGGTCTATCTACCCACATTACTCTCATTTTGTTCACAAATTATCTAATTTCCTACTGCATCTGGCTTTGCTTATTTTGGGTTTTCATTGCTCCTGAAGATTTTTCTGGCAAATTCTGGGTTTCTGCCCCTCGTAATCCTTCTGTGGACATTCAACATGAAATACTAACGTTCCTAGGCCACTGGACTCTTGGAAAGCTAATGCTGTGAAATCTTTGCTTTGTAATAGCCCTATACTTTGTTCAATATCTATTTCATCTGTGTAACAAGTATTATAAATAATAAAAGTTGGGAGTCTCCAGTAACTGAGAAAATTCTACCCAAAGTCAACATATTTATGTTAAACAAAAGGTAGTTTGTATTCTCAAAATGAATTGAGTTATTGGGTCTGACATCCTCCTGATTAAAATGTAAACTTATTATTGAGTAACGAACTTTGAACATAGTCAGAATTTTAGAGAAACATCAATTTAAAATATATAATTAAACAGACAGAGGGCTGTAAGTTCATCTGACAGAATATGTTTACTTTTGTTGAAATGTTAATGATGTCAGTGATACTTCCCTGTCCCCCTTCATTAATCTTGGGAAAATAAACTATCTGTTTCTCCTCAAAGCTTTGTTCTCCTCACTCCATTTCTTCTTGTCCTCACCCAGAAGCTAATGAAGTAAAAGCTTTAGGGCTTCTTAGGCTAACACCCCTTCTAAGATCTTGTATCTAAATGTGTGGTTATAATTGTGTAGGCTTTATCCTAAAGAGGATAAAAATTGCATAAGATTCAGACGCTACTCAACCTGGATCTGCCTTACGTGAGTTGTAAATATTTCAGTCAACTTGCAATTACTGCTCATATTTTTGTTTCTCTGTACTTGCAGCCGAGGAAAATCCTTTGGAGTGGCTCATGGACATCAGTCCCCCTGATACAAAAGCTTATTTTGGCAAGAAAGTGGCAAAGAATTACAAGTCAGGATAGAGGCTAAACATGAATTTTAGATCTAAATTTCTATCAATAGGTAATTAGATGAAAAACAATAATAAGGTAGATCCATATCAGAGACAAAGTGGAGGCCTCTAGTCCTAAATGGGCCTGAATAATTTAGAAATGTAACTTAAAAATGTTTGGTTTTGGGAACATTTTATGTAAAAATTCAGGTGTCAAAAATCAGACCTGATAAAACTGGGTATAAATGCTCTGGCCTGAATATATTTCCTATCTACCTCCCTTCACTCATTTTCAAGGCCTGCCTGTCCCCACCTAAGTTAAATTTAGGCAAGCCCAAAGGGTTATTATTAAAGTTATATTCCTCAAATTATGGAAATAATGCCCAAGAGATATTAATTATTAAAAAAAATAAATCAACTGACATAATAGCATTCATAATAGCATTCATACTATGTTTCAACTTTTATTTTAAATGATTTATATAATTTCTAAGATGAATTCAAATTATTTATTATGGTATACAGTATTTTTTAATATTCAGCAGAAAAAATTAAGCACAAATTTTATTTTAAATAACATTTCCTACCACCTTTAAATATAACTTCAGTAGCAGACACTGTGTTGATGGTTTGGCTAAAGGAGGACAAGAAAATAGGACCTGCTCAAATTCATGCATGGTGGCAACAAAAATTCAGGGATCATGGCACCAAAAATCTTGTTTTCCAGGATGGATCACAGACTGAGGAAGCACAGATTATACATTTAGAGCCGACATTCATTTCTTCACAGCAGTATTAGAAAAGAAAAGCCACAGTCGATGCCATTTCCATCTAGCTGCATCCAAGCCTTTCTGCATACAGAGAAATATCTAATTACCCAATACACTAGAGCAACGTGTGGGGATTGTTTTAATATATATTCACAGCATGTGTCATTATGGCTCCTGGCGGCTATTAAAAGGGTGGGCTAGCAACATGAATTAACAATAACACATTTGGTATATGATGGCTTTATAATGCCTAAAGCATTTAGCTAGTCTCATTATTCTTAATGTGCCCTACAGCTCACAAGAATCATGTAACTGTGTATTCAGCTGGTCCCAAATGCTAAATGGAAAGCAAAATATCTCCTAAAAGTAGTTCTGAGTAACTGCTATGTCTAGTTTTCTTCCTTTTTCATCAACTAACATGGCATATGTTATAATCAACAGATAGTTCTGTTTTCAGAACGTTTTTTTCCTTTTGTTTTAGACAAGCAGAACAACTCATAATAGTAGACAACTTCACCAGGAGAACAGCAGTTCAGTACAACAGGAAGGCCAGTGTCTCCCCAGTACCACCTGCTTAAGCTACTACAAGGGTTCCCTTAACAGAGATGCCTGCCTCTATCCATCCTCCTACAGCCCATTCTCCAGTCAGCAACTATAGACATCTGTGAAAATATCAGATCGTATCACATTACTCTTCAGCTAAAAGTACTCCAGTGGCTTCAATATGTACTAAGAATAAAATGCAAACTTCTGGTCATTTCCCACAAGGCTCCTTCATGCGGTGGCTGCCTACTTATCTCTGCAACTTCTGTTTGTACCATTCTCATTACTAAACCTGAAACACGGCGCACACCTGTAATCCCAGCTCATAGTCATTCCAGTCATTCCACACTTTTAGCATTTCATGGACCCTCAGCCTGGAATACCCTTCCCATAGATCTTTTAATGACTGGCTCCTTCTCCTTCTTCAGAATTCTGCCTAAAATTGATCTCCTCAGAGACTATCCTATCTGTAGCAACCATTTTTTCCCAATTCTCTATCGCTGTCCTATTTAATTTTTTTTTTAATTAGGCCTAGTAGAGTGAAATTAGTTGTTTTTTCAGCATGATTTCTTATCAACTATCCCTATATAAATGTGGGTATGCACACACACAGAAATTCGCATTCCATTAGGAGCACGGCCTTATCTATCTTTCCTATTATCACCTCCCCAGTACGTGGAACAGATACTGGTAGGCAGTAAGTGCTCAAAAATTATTGGGCATGGACAAACGAACCTGCTAGTTAAGCATTTCCATCCAGGAGACAATCAAGGGAGCTCAACTTGGGAATGTATTCAAATCAACTCTTTGAAATTCCATCTAACAACACAGGAAATCATTCTCTCTTATTTATTTATTCATGCATTCATTCATTCATTCATTCATTCATTCTGAGCCAGGATTCAAGTCCTAGTCCCTCTTACTAGGGCAGAAAAAGTATAAGCTCTCGAGAAGAAATTATATTCTTCTACCCTCCCCTCCCTGTTCTTCAACTTCAGTCATTCACCTGCTCTCTGGTATGGTTTCTGCCACTTCTGTGTATTACAGGTACCAACTTTCACTCAATGCTCTTTTCACCTTTTTACAATAGCCTCACACTAAGCATTAGGTTGGTGCAAAATTAATTGTGGTTCTTGCCATTAAAAGTAATGGCAAAGGCCAGGCAGGGTGGCTCACGCCTGTAATCCCAGCACTTTCGGAGGTTGAGGCGGGTGGATCACGAGGTCAGGAGTTCGAGACCAGCCTGGCCAACATGATGAAACCCCGTCTCTACTAAAAATACAAAAATTAGCTGGGTTAAAATATTATTTTAAATAACATTTCCTACCACCTTTAAATATAACTTCAGTAGCAGACACTATGCTGATGGTTTGACTAAAGGAGGACAAGAAAATAGGACCTGCTATGGTGTGGTGGCACACGCCTGTAATCCCAGCTACTCAGGAGGCTGAGGCAGGAGAACTGCTTGAACTCGGGAGGCAGAGGTTGCAGTGAGACAAGATCGTACCACTGCACTCCAGCCTGGGTGAAAGAGCGAGACTCCATCTCAAAAACAAAAAGTAATGGCAAAAACCTCAATTACTTTTGCACCAGCCTAACAGTAATAACTTTAGGATAAAGAGTTTGCTAGGACTAGTTTTTCCTGAATTACATTACAATTACTCCTTGACTATTAAAACACATACCCATACGTATGCATTTACACGTATTTTTCCATCTACAATAGTCTCCTCCAACATTTGGGAAAACTGGATCAGAGATGAAGGAAGACTTTCTTCCAGGGATAGAGGCTCCCCTCAGGCAGAATGACATTGCAGAGTCCCTGGAGGGCTCCTAACTTTTACTAGGCACTCAGTGGTGTCATGCTCTGTGCTTTATTTATTACAATACCCCTTTGAGGAGGTATTCATATAATGTATTTTGCAGGGGAGGACCCAGGTACAGGGAGCTTAAGTCAATAGGACAAGGTCACATAGCTAGCAAAAGGCAGAAGTCGTGTTCAAATTCAGGTCCATCTGGGCACCAGATCCATTCTTGGAACCGCTGAATCATACATCATCTTTGCAACACGTAAGCGATCCATGCTTTGTTTTACAATATACTTCTTTCCTAAGGTGGTAATCCGAGAGCTTTTATTTACTTATTTTATTTACTAATCTAAAAACTGCACACACCCACCTTCCCTTCAATATTCCCAAGTAACAAGCTTGTTGAGAAACCCTACTGAAAACAAGCTGAGCCTTCTTTTCATTACTCAGTGATTTTTAAGTGTTGCTAGTTTTTATACCATTAGACTTTTATTTTCATAATTATAGGCTGCCATGGGCTTCTTCCAAAGCCCCCTGCCAAGTCTTCATTCCTACATACAGGTGCTAATTGCTTTCTTAGCACCACTGGTTATTCTCTGAACCTTTGGATTTCACCACCTACAATAGGACCCTGGGTTTTTCTCCCCTTCAGTAACCCTTAGCACAATGGTCACAGTCACTCCATGGCTGACTTGGTTCTGGCCCACAAGTCTCATCTCCTCATTCTCAAAGCGGAGTCAAGTTAATTCTGTGCCCGTGCTGCGTCCTGTTCTCTCTCAATTCTTGGTCGTGGTGCTTGATCCTCAGGTTAAAGCAACTGAACTCTAGTAGCTTTGAAACAAACTTGTATGTTTCCTCCTCCCCTCCATATAGTGTGAACTATATATAACTTAAACATTAACAATAATAGCAAACTTTTATTGAGTTCCTATCAGTCTCCACACCAAAGCCTCTCAACAAATTTATTTCGTAAAAAACAAACAAAAACGAGCAAACCTCCCTGTGGAGGAGTACCGATTTTATCCCCCTTCCGCTATCTTCCAGAAGACAGCACTGAGGTTCACAGAGGAGAATCCATTCTTCCTGGTTCCAGAGTCCGTACTCTAAAGACCCACTACCCACTATCCCTCTTGTGAAAACTGTCCCAACCTGATCCTGATGCAAAATGATGGCAAATAAAAGGCAGTAGATAGATTTTTACAGTAAAAGAGAAACAGAAGATAATTAACTTGAGTTGTGAAAAGAATTCAAGAAGGGAGATGCTTCCTTTCAAGACATATAATCTGCTCCTGTATGTCTTTCACTTGTTCTTCAAGGAATCTTCGAAATGTTCCCCTCACAAAGTTTCTCCTTATGCTCATATCCCTCCTAAGCCATCCATGAGGGTACCCATGAAGGCCCAGTTCACCGGAGCTGCCTGACGTACTGATTATCCCTCTCTAAAGCATCCTCTTTTGGACAACAAATTATATGTCCACCCAAACCATAATCTCCATGAGGGCAGGGATGTGCCTTATTCTCCTTTTTATCTCTCACCAGGATTTTTATTTTATTTTATTTTATTTTATTTTATTTTATTTTATTTGACAGGGTCTTGCTCTGTCACCCAAGCTGGAGTGCAGTGTGTGGTCTTGGCTGAAAACTCCGGCTCCCAGGTTCAAGCAATTCTCTTGCCTCAGCCTCTTGAATAGCTGGGATTACAGGCATGCACCACCATGCCTGGCTAATTTTTGTATTTTTAGTAGAGACGGGGTTTCACCATTTTGGCCAGACTGGTCTCGAACTCCTGACCTCAAGGGATCTGTTTGCCTAGGCCTCCCAAAGTGCTGGGATTACAGGAATGAGCCACCACGCCCAGCCAGGATTTTCCGATTTTAAATCAGTACTGGAGTAATGCTTGCTAAGAAGTCTTCCCCCCAAGCTAGGTAGAATTTCGTCATTACTAAGTCCTTCATAGCATTTTGTGTTCGTCTCTCTTACAGAAATTATCACATGCCAACTTTAATAGTTCACAGACCATATATGCCATGCCTCTGTGGCAGGCCTGAGTCTCCACTCATCTTTGTATCCCTAGATACCTGATTAGATACTTTATCCAGTGACGTGGTTAACTACATGCTGACCAACTGAACTCAATATTCTTTTGATATCCTCATTTTGCAGGCAAACTCTTACTGTCCTGCCAATGGAACAGAAAATTTGAGAGTTGTGAGATCAATGATACACCAAGTGCTGGAGGAAAGAAGACAGAGTATCTGTACCTGGAGAACAGGAGAAAGTTTAGAAACAGGGCTAAAGGACTAGGAGGTATTATCTAGGTATAAATGTCTGGGTATTAGGGATGGGAGAGAGTTGAGAGAACCTCCCAGGAAGAGGGAAAAGACAGGGCAGATACAAGACAGTCTGCACGCAGAATGGTGTGAGTAGGTTGTGTGGCTCCTGATGGCTGAAGTTTAAAATCAGAAGGGAGATTTGAGTAGACGCTTACTTCTCAACAGGCTGTTCTGTTAAATACCAGAGCAACAGTAAATAAGCATTTAATGCAAAACTTGCCCTCTTAAAACAGCGACTTTGGGATCATCAAAACTGCATTGTAACTGAAGATAACAGACGGACAGGGGAGCAAATAGATGACCTCAGGACAGCTTATTTGGGGCTGAGACAGAATACAGCATTCTCTCTCCACTTTTGCACTTCCCTCAGCAGATCTACAGAACTGCAGAGGACCAAGTCCTGACCAGGAATGTGACCATACCAAAGGGAAAACAGTCATTTCAACATTTCTGTGGGTGCCTGTGCTGAAGGGACCCAGTGAGGCTGGGCGCTCTGTTTATAAAACATAATACGAATCATGGGACTAAGCTATTTAGCAGAGCAGCAATGGGACAGCCCCACAGGGAGAGAAAGGGTGAGGAGATGTTAACAAATGGTCTCAGGGGAATCCATTTGGGGAAGAAGGTCCCAGTGGTGAAGAAGGACCAGAGGACTTGTACAACAGAGCTGTCTTCTGTTCAATTAAAAAGCACTGTTGGCTGGGCGCAGTGGCTCACACCTATAATCCCAGCACTTTGGGAGGCTGAGGCAGGCAGCCCACCTGAGGTAGAGAGTTCAAGACCAGCCTGACCAGCAGGGAGAAACCCTGTCTCTACTAAAAATACAAAATTAGCCAGGCATAGTGGCGCATGCCTGTAATCCCAGCTATTCGGGAGGCTGAGGCAGGAGAACCGCTTGAACCCGGGAGGCGGAGGTTGCGGTGAGCTGAGATCGCACCATTGCACTCCAGCCTGGGCAACAAGAGTGAAACTCCGTCTCAAAAAAAAAAAAAAAAAAAAAACACTGCCTGCCTGCACTATACTAACATGTTCTGTAATCCCTCTCCTTTACCCTAAGCCTTTACTGTTGCTGCACACAATGATTGCAGGATTAAAGCACTTTGGAAAAATGAAAAACTGGGAACGTGTCCAGGCTGAAAGGAAGCATGGAGGGAAAACAACAGTTGGTTGTCTCTCGAGACTAGATATAGAGGAAGGAGGGAGAATCAGGAAGGGGACTTATGGGGTCACATGGATGTGTCTAGGGATAAGAATGAGAAGCAAATAATCATACAGCCCTATGGCCTTGAGAAGTGCTGGTTTTGGAGCACGCATCTATCTGTGGACACTGATATCCCATCTTGTCTCTATTGTCACGCCACTTCTCTATGTGAATGTGAGCCATTATCTTCTCCTCTGGCTAGAACATCTATCTACCTAACGTAGTAAATGAATCAAATTTAATTTAAAGGAAAATCAAAAGTCATTTCCATGCACTGACATAAGAAAGCACTTAATCTCAATAAACTAGCAGTTAGGATGATGGGAAAATCTACAAGGGCTCAGAGGTATGCAGCAAATCAAAATTCTCCCCATTTGTATAATGGAACAAAGCCAAAGTAAGCTTTCTTCCTGGCCTAAACCACATAACCTAACACCTGTTAGAAAAATGGGCTGGGGCAATGAGCTGTGACCACCGGTGATTCAAAGGAATCACTAAACTCTCCCCACCAGTTTCACAGAACTGCATTGGAAAATGACTTTTACCAAGATTCTTAATAAAATCAACATCTTTGCCTGTTTCATACATTATTAGATTTTATGGCATGCATTTCAGAACTCTAATACCTTAACTCTGTCTACAAGTGAGGTGGGATTCCCGAAGGACCACCATCCCACCTCTGAAAATATTTTCATTACCCAAGTCAGAGGAAGTGAAGAAATGAAAGCTTCCTGAATCTGGCCAGCTAAATAGCTTGATTCAAGTGTGTTATGTTTTCATTATTTACATTTCCCTTGGAATTTGAGGGCTGTCTTCAAATTTTGTGACACCTGTATTTTTTTCACCTACTTCTGTTCAGTGATTTCCTGGAAGAAGGAAGAACACGGCTGAAATGAACAATCAACGAACACTGATTTAATCTATACCACATTTACCTCCAATTAGGTAAATCATGGATCACTGTTTAAAAATATTTTTACAAGGCCATTGGATAAAAACAAGTATTAGGTATCAGTCAGTGCTCTGATTTGGGAAGAGCCATTTACGGTCTCTAAGCTTATGTCATCTCATCTGTAGAATGAAAGTGACTGATTCCCCACATGGCTTCCAACTCCAAGAACTTCTGGAATGCTGTACTGACACTCATACAGAGCTGATTTGGGGTTAATTATTGTTTTTCATTTCTGCTTCCTTTTCTTGATGGATTTTATCAAAAAGTGAACCATTTTAAAAAGCAATTACTGGACATTTTTTAAGAACTGCAGGGGAGCTGGAGATAGTTGCAAGAGGGAGACCTATTAGGTTTCCTTTTTCTTTTACTACCACTTAACTTTTTCCTCCAAGCCTCTTGCCTCACAATAAACATAAAAACAGATGACCCTATCACTCCAGACTGTCCTTCATAATGGCAACAACAACAATAATACAAGCTTTTAATTTTTGAACTCCCACTGTACGGCAGACCTTTATCTCATTATTGGAAGGAGTATAAAGTAAGGCATGAAACCACTGGCTCTGACATACTGTATGATCCCATTTATGTAAAATGTCCAGAATAGACAAATCCACAGACACAGAGCAAAGAAAATTAGTGGTTGCCAGGGACATTAAGCATAGGAGAATGAGGGTGACTTCTTAACCAGCACAGGGCTTTCTTTTGGGAAGACGAAAATGTTCTGGAACTATTAATAGACAGGAGTAGTTATGATTGTATGACCTTGGGAATACACTAAAAAAGCCACTGAATTGCATACTGTTAAAAGGTGAATTTTTTTGGTATGTGAATTATATCTACTAAAAAGATAAAATTTAAAAAAATAAAACACACATCCATGGCTCTGGATGGAGATTGTCCAGGTTCAAATCCCAGCCCTACCGCTTCTCAGCTTTTCTAAGCCTAAGTTTCTACATGTATAAAATGGGAGAAATGACAAATACCTCACAAGGAAATTAGAGGACTAAATAATGCTACGACTTTTAGGTACAAAGGCCAATTTATAGCGTGTTTTAAAAATATTCTTACGAGACCCTTGAATAAAACAATATTAGATACCAACCAGTTCTTTGATTTGAGAAGAGCCACTCCTGGTCTCTAAGCTTAAGTCATTTTGTCTGCAGAATGAAGGGGACTGGTTCCCTACATGAGCATCCCATAAATTTTCCTATTCTTATGTAATCCCCACAATAGTTCTATAAAATACGTAGAACATTACTGATTTTAGAGATGAAGAAACATCAGTAAAGGGCAAGGAAGTTGCTGAGCCACTAAGTGGCAGAGGTGAGATTCGAGAAATGTCAGAATGGAACCTCACACTCTTGAGTGACACACCACTGCCTCCTGACCCACATATTAATAACCCAGCATATGTACGAACTGCTTACTGACTTCTTACTATGTTGCAGAAACTCAGGGACAGTGCCCTCAAGAAAGTCATTACCTGGCCACTTGCAGTGGCTCATGCCTGTAATCGCAGTACTTTGGGAGGCTAAGGTGGGCAGATTACTTGAGGCAAGGAGTTTGAGACCAGCCTGGGCAACATGGTGAAACCCTGCCTCTACCAAAAGTACAAAAATTAGCCAGGTGTGGTGGTGAGCATCTGCAATCCCAGCTACTTGGGAGGCTGAGGCAGGAGAATCACTTGAACCAGGGAGGCGGAGGTTGCAGTGAGCTGAGCTCCTGCCACTGTACTCCAGCCTGAGCAACAAAGTGAGTGAGACATCATCAAAAAGAAAAAAAAAAAAAGAAAAAGAAAAGAAAAGAAAGAAAGAAAAGAAAGCAAGCCATTACCCAAGATGGGAGAAGAACAACAGTGCCCAGGGATTAAGGAAATTAAGGAACAGGTGTACACAGTAAAAGTATAAAAGTAGATATTTTTACCATATAATTCAGAACCTTCTGTCTTTAGAAGGGGACTTTCCTATCAGGGAAAATCCAGAGTAACTGGGCTGAGAAAAAACATTATGTAGATGAACTTTTGAGAGTTTCTAAGAAAATAATTAAGAGACTGAGTGCTGTGGCTCACACTTACGTATAATCCCAGCACTTTGGTAGGCCAAGGTGAGAGGATCATGGCCAGGCATTGAAGACTGGCCTGGGAAATAAAGCAAGTCCATATCTCTAAAAGGACTTTTTTAAAGTTAGCCAGGCATGGTGATGCACGCCTATAATCCCAGCTTCTCAAGAGGCTGTGGCAGGAGGACAGCTTGAGCCCAAGACTTTGAGGCTGCAGTGAGCTATGATTGTGCCACTGCACTCCAGCCTGGCCAACAGCACAAGACCCTATCTCTAAAAAAGATAACAAGAATTAAGTGTAATCGGCCACTCACCTCTATGCCAAATACCATATTTTACTTAAGATTTCAAATCTCGTTGTTCAATACCGTGGCCACTAGCCACATGTAGCTAAATTTAAATATATTAAAATTGAATAACGTTAAAATTTTGGTTCCTCAGTTCACACCACCACATTTCTAGTTCACAAGAGCCACACGCGGCCACTGGCTGCCATAATGAACAGACCAGATAAAAGAGCATGTCTTTCAATGCAGAAAGTTTTAAGGGACAGCACTAATCTAAATATAAAATCACATCATTCACAGTCAAATAATAAGAGAAAATGCAACATTTTATTTCATATCCTAAAAAGAGATTTGGTATCCAAGTGAATACCTGGAACTACTATAAATGCTCACCTAAGTTGTAAGATGACATTATAATTTCTTATCTACACTTTAAAAATAACATTATCTGATCATATTGCTCTGGTGTAAAGATTTTCCAGAAAAAAAATCACTTTCCGAGACTCCTTATTTTTAAAAATCGCAGATAGCATAGGCAAACAGATAATGAACATGTAAGCTCACTGCATCTCAGTTTTGAAATGGATTCAATTCACTGGTCTTGAAAAGAAAAGTTCAGGACATTGGGGAAAACTCAGTTGCTCTGGTCTCTGAGTTAATAGCCTTATGAGTAGAATGCCTTTTTGTCCAAAGAATTCTCAAAATAGTATTATTTTTGTTTATTTGTGTTTTTGAGATTGAATCTCACTCTGTCTGCTCAGGATGGATTGCAGTGGCATGATCTTGGCTGACTATGACCTCCCCATCCTGGGTTCAAGCAATTCTCCTGCCTGAGCCTCCTAAGTAGCTGGGATTACAGCCATAAACCACCACGTCTGGCTAATTTTTGTATTTTTAGTAGATACGAAGTTTCGCCATGTTGGCCAGGCTGGTCTTGAACTTTTGGCCTCAAGTGATCTGCCCTCCTTGACCTCCCAAAGTGATTACAGGCGTGAGCCACCACTCCTGGCCTTAAAATATTTCAATAACCATTCTAATGTGAGCAGACATGGTAGTGGCAACAACTCGGAAATAAAATAATCTTATGAGGTTTGGTCAAATACGCCAATAAAGCTCCTCTGCCATCTTGCCTCTGAGCCATGCTCATATTTGTGAAATGGGAGGAAAAATTTTTCTCCTTCTTTGCAGATATATTATTCTCCTTCTTTGCAGATATATATGTGTGTATATATGTGTGTATATGTACACATACACATACACAGAAGCGCACACATATCCAATAGAAGTTGGTATCTATCATCCAGTACTTCAGTTTTTAAGTATAACTGACACACATATACATATAAATTCAATTAATTATTTTACAGTCTGAACACTTTCATGTAACCAACGCCCAGATCCAGAAATACAGTATTACCAACACCTCAGAGTCTACCTGCCGCAGCCTTCCAGGTACCCTCAAGGGTAACCAACAACCTGACTTCTAGCACCACTGGTGAACTTTGACAGTTTCCACATCTTACATATGTGGCACTCTTTTGTGTCTAGCTTTTATCACTGAACAAGACACCATCTAGTTTTGACAGATCTTCGCCACAAGGCAGCCATTTAATGCTTTCCTGCCTTATAGAATAACTAATCCTTATTGAGCACATATTATGTGTCAAGTGCTTTACGTGCCTTGACTCCTTTAATTCCCCCAAACAAGCTTATCAGTAAAGTATTATTATTATCCCTATTAAATAGATGAGCACATTGATGTGTAAAATTGGCTAGGCTATAGTTCCCACTTATTCAGTTACATACTAATCTAGGTATTCCTGTGAAAGGATTTTACAGATGTAATTCAAGTCTCTAATCATTTGACTTTAAGTTAGGGAGATTATCCTGGGTGGACCTGATTTAATCAACTGAAGGCCTTAACCATAGGGCTGAGGCTTCCAGGAGACAGGGAGCATAAAATAAGGAGGGAAGGGGGCATTTTTCTGGAGCAGATAACCATGAGCAACAATCATCCATTAACTTATACATGCCAATAACAGATGTCACACCAACTCAAAGACAAGGCTCTTCAGTTCATTCTTGAATAGGAACTTGTAGTAGAAATGGTATGTGCCACATTATTTTTCAAGCCAGCCCTGATGTCATTTGTTCATGCACACTGTCCCTGTAAGAACACTCTCATTTTTCAAGTCCTGCATCATATTTCAAGTTGGGAAAAATAAGGTCACTCTACACATGGTAGGGTGATGGAGGTGTTTTTGGACAGCCAGACTTTTCAGATTTACTCATCTTTAAAAGCAATCTCAGTGAAAGGCTTCTCTTGAGTGGATCTAAATAGATCTCAAGTAAACCTAGGAGATTTTTTAAGAACAGGAGCAATTTCTTCCATTATCTTATCCCCCTTAACATATATCATTGAGCAGGACTGAAGGGAAGTCTTGGTAAGTACAGATGCATGTTATCATTTGTCTCCTCTTTTTCTATTGAAGGCTGATTTTAAGGATTTTCCATTTTCAGAGGTGAAATTAAATGGAATCCTTAGTTTTCCCTTCCAACCCTCAAGACTTCCTCCTCAAGTCTTCTCCATCTCAATTATTAGCGTCCCACATTCGCTGGGTTTCCTGGGCCAGACTCAGTAGTGATCAGCAAGTCAGTTCTGCCTCCAGGCATATCCCAAAGCTAAAATCTTATCTCCATCTCCATCTCCAGTATAAGCACCCTTGTTCTGACCATTCTGTTTGCTAAACACAGACAAGGAGACCTGAGTGATCTCCTGGCTTCCACTCCTGCCCCTCTAAAGCCATGTCATATACAACAGAGAGCTCATTTTAAAGCTGCAAATGTAGTAATATCACTCTCCTGCGTACAACTCCAAATGAGACTGGATATGTGATGACACTAAGGAAATACTGTCAACTTTTAGAAGTGATAATGATACTATGGCTATAGTTTTTAAAAGAGTTCTGATGTTCTAGAGATCTATGGTGACAAATGACAGCATGCCTCCTTCAAATAACACTGTGCAGTGGTGGTGACTGGGAAGGGGTGCAGCTGGAGAGAAGGGATAGGTAAAATAAGATAGACCATGAGCTGATAATTATTGAAACTCGGCAATGGGTACATTGGGAGTCACTATACTTTTCTATTTTCATATCTTATAACATTTTTATAATAAAAAACTATTAAATCCCCAATGACTCCTGACTGCACTTAGAGAGTAAAATCTTAAGAACTTGTATGGCTCAAAAGGTATTTAATGATCTGACTGATGCCTGGCAATCCATGATTTTATCCAGTACCCAGCTTTGTCCATTAACTGCCAAACAGCTGTAACAGCCATCCCGTGCCTTCCAGCCCTTTGCCACCATAGGACCTTCAGACAGGCTCTTTTCAGCCTTAGAGGGCTCCTCCCCAAGATGTGCCAGATGTGCCCAGTGTTGGGCTCCTTCTCCTTCAGGTGTCCACTCCAACAAACTCCTCAGAGAGGGCCTCCTCCACCATGCTACCTAAAGCACCTTCCCTCCCCGCTCTCCTCCTGCCCACCCCTCTGCACCCTTACCACTCTACCTATTTTCTTTCATTATTTCTTCATAATCCTTATCACTTTTTGAAATCATCTTTTCTCTTAAGTCCTTTTGAAAAATAAGCTGATATAGTTTGGCTGTGTCCCCACTCAAAACTCATCTTGAATTGTAGCTCCCATAATTCCCATGTGTCATGGGAGGGACCCGGTGGCAGGTAATTGAATCATGGGGGCAGGTCTTTCCCATGCTGTTCTTGTGATAGTGAGTAAGTCCCACAGGATCTGATGGTTTTATGAAGGGGAGTCCCCCTGTACATGCCCCCTGTACTTACATCTTGCCTGCCGCCATGTAAGATGTGCCTTTGCTCCTTTATCTTCTGCCATGAGTGTGAGGCCTCCCCAACCACGTGGAACTGTGAATCCATTAAACCTCCTTCCTTTACAAATTACGTCTCAGGTACATCTTTATTAGCAGCATGAGAACAGATTAACAGACAAGTCACTTATTATCAATATACTCCCCATACTAGAATACATGCTCTGAGATCATTGGGACCTTGTCTGTCCAGTTCACTTGCATGCTTCCAGTGCCTATGATAGTGCCTAGCATAAAAGTAGGATTCCAATGATGACACATTACACAAATCCTTTAAATCAGACCAGACAATTAAAGCTGTGTACATAGCACAGGGACAACAAAAAATAATAATAATTAATGCCTTGGAAAGTGAAATTATCCTTACATGTATATATCTGTAGTATTAATGAATAGTTAACACTAACGGATTTCATTTGAATTAAACATATGTCAACATAATGAATAACTACTTACACATATTAACACAATTAATGAATAATTAATACCTGTGAGTTTTCTCTGAATTGCATTCAATATATCCATACACAATACATGCACATACACATATAGTCTTTATTTCATTATTCTGATACCGAATATATAACACCATTGTTGGCTTATATGTAAGGAATATGACAGTTTATGATTGCTATATCTCGAGCAGGAGATTTTGCTAAATGTATTGTTGCCAGAGCTTAGATTTTAAAATTCATTTCTAAGTCTTAGCTGGTGTTAAACCATGTCAGCATAATAAGCAAGTTTTGATTTCCTTTCAGATGTTCCTGGCTGCTGAAAGAATTGATTTTGAAGATTTTCCCATTGACCTATAGGGCTGTGAAGAAGAGATAGCTCTTCTTAATCTCAAAGATCCAAACTGAGTTTACATTCCCCAGCCTTTGTTTGGATGTCACCTTCAGAGCTTGCTTCATTATGTGTCTCAGGAGAAACACAGAAGTATTAGTGATAGGACACTGACTGGTAGACTTTAATCCTTCTTTGAGATGTTGTTTAATAATGATGGTTTAGTATCACATTCGAGGATAACTGTAGTTAGTTAATATTTTTACTTTTAATATACCTACTTTCCCAAGTACAAATTTATCCTGGGGCTACGTAGGTGACCCAAGTGCATCAGGAGCAGTTTCGAACAAGGTGTAACTTCTCAACGTTACATGGAATAAGAGAGAGATTCAAAAATCACATCCAAACTCAAACATCATTTCAAAGGTCCTTTCCCATCTTCCTCTCCCCAAAAACAACTAAAACATGGCATATTGCATCTTTCAACCATGGTCAAAATCCTTCTCTGTTAAGTAGATTCTATGTATTTTTAAATATCTATGCTTTTGTTTGTTGTTTTTTTTTTTTTTGAGACAGAGTCTCACTCTCTCACCCAGGCTCGAGTGCAATGGCGTGGTCTCGGCTCACTGCAACCTCCGCCTCCTGGGTTCAAATGATTCTTCTGCCTCAACCTCCTGAGTAGCTGGGATTACAGGCACCCATAACCAAGCCCAGCTAATTTCTGTATTTTTTAGTAGAGGCAGGGTTTCACCGTGATGGCCAGGCTGGTCTCGAACTCCTGACCTCGTGATCTGCTGGCCTCAGCCCCCAAAGTGCTAGGATTACAGGCGTGAGCCACCGTGCCCGGCCATATCTATGCTTTTAAGTATTGTTTTCCTTCTCAGACGTTTGAGAAACTCAAGAAGGAAACATTGTATACAGACTCAGACTTAACCTCAATGTGAACATACACAGCAACATCATTGACAGTCTACAGTTACATGATCTCAATGGCAAGTGTGGTCCACTGTGATGTCAATTTTATAAAGGGAAGCTTGAAAAACATCACAACAGAAAGAAAGCTGTCATGCTTGCTTTGATTAAAGAGGATGTAGTATGTTTCATAAACAGGTTAGTTCTCACAGGAAGGTTCAATAAATGGAAGCAAAAAGCAAAAACTCACAATGGAGATCCTCCCAGTGTTTGAATTTTAAAAAATAAAGGTCAGTTTATCACTAGAGCGTTCAATTGGCTCCAGGGTTCATAGGGTATTGTTAGACTAGAGCTCCTTTTGCTAAAAAACCCAGAGGACTTCTTGTATTTTGCTTCTAGCTATCTGGGTCTGCTTTTAATTCCTCAGACATACTCTTCTGCTGCACGTAGTTCTCACACCTCAAGACCCATGAGTTTGCTGTCTGCCCAAATGCATCTTCTCTATCTTTCAACATCCAAGTTGAATGCAACTTCTTTCAGAAAGCCTTCCATTTCCATGACTAGTACCTCATTTTCAAATCAATTCCATTGTTCTAAGTGGTTTGACCTTGCTGGGTTCATGCTTTAATTCCTCTGATTGTAACAATAAAAAGTAATTTACTTTCTATGTGTTTGCCACACATACTAGATGAGGCCCTTGAGGACAAAGATAGCATCTCATTTGGGTCTGTGTCCCCAGAGACTTCCTCCTCAGAAAATGTTGAATGAAAGAATCAAATAAATAAAGGAATGATGAATGAAGCAAGCCAACAGCACCCTTCAACTCTCAGTTTGCTTCAAATCCCCACTACTACCCTTCCATTCTATCCCCAGTAGAATTTTTCTATTCTCTTTTCAGTCTTAAACACTGTTAAAATTTCAAGGTAAGCATCACTGAAAACTGAAGTGCTGTGGCACAATGGGTTTTTCTAATGAATTATTTATCTGTAAGCAGTAGTTCATATTCACATATTTTTTAGAGACCAGTTGCCTTTCTTTGTGAATGGATATGTTCATGTATCCATCTATTAGATGCTATTGTCTTGTTTTGCAAGGCAATTGAGTGTTTTATTTCCTTTTTTTTACTTATACAGTAATATTTGAAAATATTCTCACTGTAAAAAATTCAAACCATATAGAAAAATATAAAAACTCCCTTATCACTCCTTTTAATCCACTTTCCTCCCCAAAAGCAATCTTTATTATCAGTTTCAGATCTTTTTCTATGCATTTAGCTACATATGCACATATACAAGCTTTGTGTTTGGGTAGGAGTCTCATGCATATGTAGAATCATAAGGTTTTATAAACTTCTCCCTTCAATTAACCATGTATCTCAGAGATAGATAGTCCCAGATAAGGAACATACCTCATCCACTTTAAGTACTAGCATTCCACACTTTGGATATACCAACATTTATTCATCATTCCCATGGTGACTAAAATATATTGATACTCCATTTTCACTCTTACAAATCCTAGATCATATTTCTTTATGAAAAAGCACCAAGAGTTTTCAAAAATAGAATTACTAGGTTGAAGGGTATGCACAGACTGGCTTCCCAGAGTATGGAACTGTTTATTTCTCCATATCCTTAAAAATTGTGAATATTAACAGGTTTTGTTTTTCCATTTTTTTTTTTTTTTTTTTGGTTAATCTGATGATAGCACCTATTTCCTACATGACCTAAACCAGTTGAGAAATGCCCATATTTACACCTACCATGGTGTGTTGCGACTGGAACAGGTTCAAGTGAAATATACCAAGTGACTGCTAACAGCCTCCTACCTAACTCCTTTCAGCTTACATCCCAGTAACATAAACAGGGATCCACACTGAATTCACGTTTAATTATCAGAAGACAGGGACCTTGATGAGTGTCTTCACATAAACTATCTTGTTTAATCCTCTTAGAATCCTGTGAAATAGAAACTTTTATTCCTGTTTTATGTTTGACCACAGTGAGGCAGGCCACCCAAGATCACAAGATTGTACTTGATTCCACAAAGCGCTCCACTGACCCCAAATTAAGAAACTGCCCCATACTTGCATTCGGTTTGCAGTTTTCCACTGTTATTGCTTCTTGGTGCCTAATGTAACTACCCACATAAAAACTGAAGATGTCTCTACCTATTATTTTAGGAAAAGCTCTGGCTTTGAAAATACTGAATTTTTCTGGGAGAAGCAGCTGGTTAGAGGCAGGTAGAAATTAAGAATTTGTGGGCCGGGCATGGTGGCTTATGCCTATAATCCCAGTACTTTGGGAGGCCGAGGCGGGTGGATCACCTGAGGTCAGGAGTATGAGAGTAGCCTGGCCAACATGGTGAAACTCCATCTCTACTAAAAATAATAATAATAAAAAAAATCAGCCAGGAATGGTGGTACATGCCTGTAACCTCAGATACTTGGGAGGCTGAGGCAGGAAAATCGCTTGAGCCTTGGAGGCGGAGGTGGCAGTGAGCCGAGATTGTACCACTGCACTCCAGCCTGGCACCAAGCGAGACTCCGTCTCAAAAAAAAAAAAAAAAAAGAATTTGTGTATCAGCAACAAATACAAACTTTATTGGACACTCCCTCCCTTTCTTAATGAGTTCCTCAGGTTTTTTCCAGAACTAAACCAAGTCATGAAATGTCAGATAATAAAGCCCTTAAGTATTAATGTACAGTATAGGTGAATGGCTACTGTACTTACTCTATCTTAGCGATATTTAATAATATTAAATGTTTTAAAACTATCCTATCTAAGAATGAAATAAAAGAAAGCCATGGTTTTATTATCTTAAGAAATTTATACCACTCAACTAGCTGTACTAAGCAAAAAAAAAAAAAAAAAGTCACAGCACCATGGAAAATGAACACAAAAGATGCTTTCTAAAATGCTGAAAAGCATAAAATAAAAGATTAAAACATTTCACTATGCATATGTTATGCTGGAACCTTGAAGCTATCGCCTACATGAGAATGGTACTTTAAAGATTACTGAATATGTTTTCTGAAAGTATAGAATGATCGATTCATTTTTCAAACCCTTAGTGTAGTTGCACTCTTCCTTTCCCTGACAGATGACAAGGCTCAGGGAAAGCAAAGATCAGAGCTGAGGAACAACAAAAAAAGTTGGCACCTGATTCACTTCCCCTTCATGCCAACCCTGTTTTTCTCCCTTATCATACAACAAAGCAAAAAGAAAAGTATTGAATATGAAAACCAAAAAGATTCCCCATGACTGAGCTTTGGCAAGTACAAATGCATTAGGAATGGAGCTGATTCCTGTGACCTTTTCAATTATGATAATCCTGCAAAGAAAATTAAAATCATTTTCTAAAACATGGTCCAAGGAGTTCCATAGATAATTGAAGAAAATATTTAGGAACATCCCTGGCATTTTTCTAAGAATGTATATACTTAGCCCAGGTCTGTTGCACACTGCAGCCATTTCAGCCATGAGTATTTGTGAGCAAAAGGTCAAATTAACTTGAGAGATATTTTTGCAAAGCCTACTTCCAGAGTTTTTGCCCTTCATTTTTTCTTTTGTATATATTTACATTTTGAAATGGGAAGACTGAAAAAGAGGGAAGCTATATACTTGTTTCTGCTTTGGTCTGAAAATTTGGTAGTTGAATGTACTTCTTTTTGAAAGCATCTTTTTGGCTGGGAGGAGAGGCTCATGTCTGTAGTCCCACTAACTTGATTTGGAAGGCTAAGGTGGGAGGATTGGGTGAGCCCAGGAATTTGAGAGCACCCTGGGCAACATAGGGGGACCCCAGTCTTTTAAAAAATAAAAAACTTGGCTGGGCATGGTGGCACATACCTGTAGTCCCAGCTACTCAGGGGGCTAAGGCAGGAGTGTGGCTTATGCCCAGGAGCTCAAGGCTGCAGTGAACCATGGTCATAGCACTGCATTACAGCCTAGGCAACAGACCACAACTCAAAAAGCAAACAAAAAACAGAATCTTTTTGTTTTGGGCATGAAAAATAAGTGAAGAGGCTTTAGAGTTCCTAGGATCTCCACTGGATTTCTAACAAGCAAAAGTTTCCCTAAAGCATGGAAAAACACACAGATTTAACTATATTTAAAGTAAAATGATCCACAAAGCTCATCCTTGCCCAATTCTCATTTAATGAATAAGAAGACTAAATACTTCAGAAAATCAAAGACTACCTTACTAATAGACTTAGATAAATGGATTTCAGTTTAGACCCAAGAAGGGAAGTCAAATCTATAGATACAGCATCTAAGAAGTTGAGACCTTGGTTCTCTATTCTACTCTCCCTATTATTGGCCTTATGACCACAAGTTGGTCAGTTCGCCTCCCTAAGCCTCAGTTTCTCACAGGGAAAATAGGAATATTAGCAAATGACAGAGCAAATTCACAGGACTGCTATCATAGGATTAAATAAAACAACACAAAAAACTGTAAAAATTATATAATACAATGTAAACAAGCAAATGGCATAATAATTATTTGTCCTTGTTCACCAAGTTAGGTTTTCAATATCAATATGCATCTCCCTACCACAGCAGGACAGAGACAGCTACAGTTACTGGAAACTATAAAATGGGTTCCAGTCAACAAAAGCCATTGGACTGCTTTCTGATTCTTCTAATAGAAAATCAGAGCATTAGTAGGAGAGAATGGGGAAAAAAAGGCTTTGCTTCAAATTTATATTTCTGTTCCTGATACCTATTAAGAGCCAGTTATGTAGCTATTAAGCTACAGCTTGCAATTTAAAATAAATAAACTGATAACAAAACCCTTAAATTTCCATCATCAGAGCAGATCAAACTACAACATATGCTACCGAGGATGCAAAGCAGCTAATGAAGACTTCAATATCAGGATTATGACCCTTAATTTCAATAGGAATGTGTTCTGTTGTTTGAGCTCACACATAACGAGAAAAAACATCACGGAAGCACAAATAAACTGTCTCATTAAAAAGCACTTTGCCTTGGTCCAAATATAATTTCGTTTTTATACAATTCAAATGCTATAGAACAAAGAAAGAGAAGGAAGAGGGATGATAAATGCAGAGGACTTGGGAGGGAAGCCTGTTCTGCAATAATTGAGATGGAAAGGAGGGTTCAACCTGCACTCCTTTGTTTGTGGAGACAAAGTCCTCAACAGCTGGCAGATAGCAGGAAGTAGAATGCTGATGGCTTTGCAGTTAGCTTCAAAACCTATTAGCAACCCTCAGATCCAAGAGCTGTACCTGCTTTGAAATAAACCAGGAAATAGGGAATAAATCATTTCTTCTGGAGGGAAAAAAATTGTTTAAAGTGATTAAAACATGCCACAGGTTTCTCACACAGGAGGAATTAAGGAAACTATTTCAGAACTTAATGGGACCTGTTAAAAAAAACAGATTTGTAAGAATTTAAAAGTAAATATTTCTTTATGCAAACTTATCATAGTGAGTATCTTTTAAATACTAAAGCTAGGGATGCACTTGCAACAGTTTTTAGGAAACGGGGGTGGAATGGGGAATCACTTCACTGAAGAAGTTTAAAGACATATTTATTCCTCTGTGGATTCCATTTCTTAAAAGACTGCCCTGAAACTTCTTCCTAAATTCTGTCATAATTCCCTAAGACAGTACCAAGGGAATTATCATTCTTTATTAGATGCCAAAGAAACATAACAAGGATCACAAATGAAACACCAGAAAATTTATCAAATAAGATTGGATGTACAGACCCATTCTAAAGAGCATTCCTTCTCCCCCATGTTTTAAGTCAAATTTATATTAAAAATCTTGAATTTTCTAGGAATTTTAAGTACTGTCCCCTAATTTTCCATTAATAAGCACGCTCATGAGTATGAAAAAAATATTTATTTACATGCATTTATTATAATGGGCCAAGAAAATATTTCTATGTAAAGGTACTATCTTCCTATTAATCTGTAGTTTTTTTGCTTTTTTTGTAAGGGTTGAAAGAAAGAGAAAAGCAACAGATTGCAGGTGGGGATAGAGGCAAAGAGAGATAAACGGTAGAGAAACCAGTTCTGAAATGTCAGGGAATTGCCTGGAGAGAGTTAAATATACTGTTTCTGCGGACCCATTCCCAGATAGGTACCGCCTATTCCTACATATGAAGAGAGAAGAGATGAGTTATATTCATGACTAGTAGGAGTTAGTTTATCTTGCTTCTGTTTTTTAATTTTACTCTAAGACAAAGGGACTGCTATAAAAGAGGAAGAAGTGGAGCTTACTCTAATTACTCTTTATTATTCTCTTGATCATCATCACCTCTAGTAATTTTGTAATTCATTACAGTAATTTATCTAAGTTTCCAAGGATTTTAATATGTTCTTTAGCTCCTAGGTAGAGAAAAATTGTGGTAACAATCAAATGACTAATCACAATTATTGGTTAGGAAAATGAAAATCACAATGCAATCATTATAAAAACAGGGTGTGTATGTAATTACACTAAAACTTCATTGATTTAGGCCATTATTAATATTTGGTAACAACTAAAAATATGTATTATCTTTCACGTTTTATTTCTTCCCAGCTTCTCCAGTATGAATAAGAATGTATACAAGAGGATGTTAATGAAAACAATCTTACAGCATCACATGGTATTAAATAGATTTTTATCTGTAGCTGTATATTTCAAATAAAATTGATATTTTGCTTATTTTCAGAGGAAATTTGTTTAAAATCCTATAATATTTCATGTTGGCTTCAAACTCTATATATTTCACCCCAAACCGTTTCTCAGTACATACTTACATCCTTTTTTCATTAACATGTTCACAAAACCCATTTGGGTCCTTATTTTTCTGCAAAGTACATATTATTTCCAGGCATGTTCTATATTCGTGTGTATGTATGTTTGCTTCTCCCCAATCCACATAATCTTCATGAGATAAATTATATTGCCTTCTTCACTACTATCTGTAGCTTCAACACTTAGAACAATGCCTTGCAGAGAGCAGGTACTTGAGGCAAAGTTGACTGCTTAGATAACTCCAATACCTCTTCACCTCTTCCCATCAGTAACTATATTATTTATTTTTAGCTGAGCACAGGGATCCCCGAAATAAAGACCACATCTTCTAATTTCAAGTTGACTGCTTTTGCCCCTTCTTCTCTCTTTCATTCTTTCTATTGGTTAGAAGATGGTCATAATGGCTGAAAACTCTATTAGACAGCACTGCTTTCAGTCCTTCTTCCTCATACAAACACATATGTTCATATATATATATTTATATAAACACATACACATATGTGAACATCTCCCCAAGCTTCTCCATCTCCTTGCTTTTTGTCAGCATATTAACACACCAGGAGAAGTAGATGTTAGTCTAATCTCCAAGCCACTAGGTCTTTACTTGAATTGATAGGCACATTTTCAAGTGAACCACAATGGCCTTGAATCAGCGTTCTCATTTTATCAGTGTGATGTCAATATTCAGTCCAAAACTAAAAAAAAAAAAAAAATTAGATTTGGGCCACTCATATTTAACACTGAATATGAAGCAAATGGATTGTTCGCCTTTGGGAGGGTGGTCTATGATTAAACAGAAATACAGGGTTACCTCTAAGCAGCTTCATTTTGCTCACTTGGATAACTATCTGGTTAAGTGGTATTCACAGATGGGAAAAGAGTTAACACTCAATGAATGCTATGTTGTCATTAATTCAACAACTGAACAAAAGGGACAAGATCCCCACACTCATAAAGCTAACATTCTAGTGGGGCAAACAAAGAAACAAATAACATCAACAAACCACACTCAATTGGTTTCTTCAGAGAATGTAACACTACTGACAAATTAGTATTGTCAAGAACTACTGGCCATGGAGAGGCGATGGGGAGAGCTTGACCTGTGCCTGCATACACTCTAGGGACTGAGCTTAAAATCTTGACTTTAAGCTCAACAAATGGCTACATCTTTTGACCAAATTCCATCATGCTTTAAGCTCCACGGTTTAAGCCCCTGAAGTCCTTTAGAAGATAGAGGCAACGGCTCTTATTTAATCTATAGACACCAGTTCAACAGCAGAAACTATTATCTTGAACAGGGTAACACCTACAACCGTGAGGAATGATAACCACCTTCTTAAACGTTGAAGATATAATCTGTACGACAGTGGCAGGTGATGCTTTACATTGTTTTATAATATTATCCCACCACCCAGTTCTAAAATAAACTTTAACTTTTTTGTTTTTTAAAGCCAGGAAAGGAGATAAAGAATCAATGAAAGGTCAACACAGAACAGACAGAAAGTACCAGATGTGCTCTCTAAATTATGTTCTGTAAGAGTCAGCAGGGAGAACAGAAATAATTTATTTCAGGAATCCTGACGTTACCATCATGTACACTCGGTTAAATGGTTTGTATAGCTGAAAAACTCAGACAGGTCTTACACCATTCTCCTTTACTTCTACCACTTAGAGAAATTCAATCAAAGGCTGAGGTTAAAGATACCAGTTCCCATCAAGCCAGTATATATATTAAAAGTGGCTTTTCTGATCACAGCAATTCTCAGGCAGTTTAGGTGTAGTGATAAACCTAAAAATATAATCTGACAAATTTTCAACTGTTCATTCTAATGTTCAATACTTCAGTTATTATACTTCATATTTTCCCTATAAATGTCAAGGAAAGGGAATTGTCTATAGGATACACACATACCTATATACACATAAATGTATGGGGGGAGGGATGGAATTTCCATTAAATAAAGAGAGAAGGATAAAAGGTCACACAATTGTCACTTTCTAAAAATAATTTCCCAGGATCTATAATTTCTCAGAGCTGTAGTAAATTAGTCACTTAAACTTATTAAAACCAAAAATTTAAGGAATACCTCTGAATATAACTCAGAATAATGTAACAAGATAATCATGAGCCTTTACAAGATTTCATGTTGATTAACAGTAAATAGCTTTTTTACTGACTGATTTCTGCTTCCAAATGACACCGCCTAAACAAACTTTGTTGCCACAGAAGCCACAAAATTGTAAGGCAATGAATTTCTGAATTGGGGCCTCAATGAGAAGTTTGATTTTTAGGATCTTGAGTGTTCTGAATTGTGCTCAACAGTATTTACCACACGTGTTGCTTGTTTATGAGACAGAGACTACAAACATCTTGAATGGGACTTTTATTTAAAATTCTAGATGTTTCACATTTATATTTTAAAGCAAAAGATCTTACATTTGATCAGCGTGGCTTTTAATTTTAGTTATGATTATTTAAAAATATGCTAAGATATTCCTGACATCTCAAAAGAACAAATTATTACTGTCTGTCAATGCATTTTTAGAAAAACTGTATCATAAAAAATGTATAGCTTCATATAATTAAAACATTCAGGTAGTGTGCATTGACTAAAGTAATATGGACTATTAAGTAATTCAAAATTGTGTTTAGCGGCAGCAGCTGTTTAATTAAAAGGTAAAAACTGCAACTAATCCACTATGGTTGACAGAAATACAGCCTATATCAGCAGTCAGATCCCCTAGGATAGAGAATATGGATATGAATTCAAGAAGTCATGAGCTTCATTTAATGAATATAATGAAAATAACCACAATAAATCAGTACTGAAACATACTTTATATCTAAAATTATCTGTATGTTGGCCCACTTTTAATTTCCTTGTAGCTAATAATTTTGCATTTCGATGTAGCAAAAAATCCTTTAACATACATATTGTCAACCATCAATGCACACAGCTTTTATCAGAGGGCCCATAGCATAAGCTCAACTTATAAGGAGGCTAGAAATGTTCTTAGAATCAGATGATCCCTTCAAAGTTCTAAACTTCAGGGTTCAATATTCAAAGTACTCACTCATAATTACCTTCTATCATGGAGAAATACAAAATGGCCAATAAGCTCATAAAGTTAATCAACCTTACCAACAAGTGACTAACTGAACATTACAATTTCATTACAAAATTATTTTCACCTACGATATTAGGGGAAAAACCTTTTTGTTAATTGAAAAAAGAAACTAGTGATGTTGAGGATGATATAGTCATTTGTAAAGATAATCAAGCAATATATATGATATTCCCAGCCCTTGATCCAGAACTTCCAATTCTAGTGGAATTACACAAGTGGGCAAAACTTTATGTACAAAAATATTTATTGCAGAAATGTTTTTAATATCAGGAAAATGTTTAAAAATATAAATCAATATTGGCAACTGATCCAGAAACTATGGTAAGCATACAGTGAACAATTATCTGGGCATTAACAAGAACTGGAAAAAAACTATCTGTATGTACATTTTATGTGACAAAACCAAAACAAGCCATTGGACAATAAATGCAGAATAAATTCATTTTTATACAATGAATAATTGTAAAATCAAAAGATATAAAAAAAATTTTCTTAAATTTGCCTATGCTTATGTTAAAGTAAACTGTTTAATTCCCTTCATAATTTTCTGCTTAAAAAATGCTTATTTTTATATTGTTTACCCTGGCTGTGCTTTAGGAAATAGATCAGAAGTATGGAATGAGGCAGACCAGTAAAGAGGCATTGCAGTAATACAGGCAAATGAGGTAGAAATGGAAATGTAGAGAAAAACAAAATTATAAATGGCAAATAAATGAATTCTTTTTAGAACAGTTATACTAAAATAAAAAGTCTACCTCCAGCAAATATATATAGAGAGTTATCTTTGAAGGAGGAAAACCAAATCATTTCAACAGTGTTCTTTTATTTCCAGGAGGGGAAAAATGTCCTATTAAAATGGCAGAAGAGAAAAGGGGAAGGAAGGGGAAGGGTCTCTCTTTTACTTTACAAACTAGAAACAAACAGTTCACAGGTTTCTTAACATTCGTATCAAATGTCCCGTGGATTTTATTTGCAAATTATGAGGCCAGCAAAGCAGAAAATGGGAGTCTTTAATTAGGAAGAACAGGTGGCTGAGAGGCACAAGGTGAGTATTAGCCACATCTCTGCCTGGTGCCAAAAAACACAGATCCGACCTGCAGAACAAATTTTAAGGGTGAGAGCGTAACTGTCTCCAGTTGGAGTGGAGCTTGAGTGGAGCTCAAGCTCTGTATTCAGCTTTTCTGAATTATATTTACTCCTATTTAAAGTGAAATGGTTTGCTCTTCAGCTTTGGTTGGAATTTACCAATTACAAATTATTGACCTTCTTCATATTGACATTCTCCACACAGTCTACAATCCTCTCTGCTGCAGTTGAAGCAAATTCTTGACCTGCCAAATGTTCCTGTTTCTCTTACTGGGTTTTCAAAATGATTCTCCTAAACAGCTGATTACGTATTTTAAGTTAGAATGACAATATAGGGCTTATAAAAGTGGAACACAGAGGATTTTCAGTGCATTGAAACTATTCTGTATGATACTCTAATGGTAGATTACATGCAAGTAACTATTTGTCCAAACTCATCGAACATACATCACTAAGAGTGAACCCTAATAGAAACTATGGACTTTGGGTGTCAATGATGTGTCAGCTCATCAACTGTAACAAATGTGACACTCTGATAGGGAATATTGATAAGTATATGTGGAAGGGGAGGGAGTATTCGGGATGACTCTGTACCTTCTGCTAAATTTTGCTATAAACCTAAAACTGTTCTACCAAGTAAGGCTATTAAGAAGTGCTCAGAGCTGGGTATGGTGGTGTGCACCTGTAATCCTAGCTACTTGGGAATCTGAGGCAGGAGGATCACTTGTGCCCTGAAGTTTAAGGCCAGCCTGGGCAAATATCACAAGACCTTGCATCAGAAAGAAGAAGAAAGAAGAAAGAAGATAGAAGACAGAAGAAGAAAGAAAGAAGAAGGAAGAAGATGATGAAGATGAAGATGAAGATGAAGAAGAAGAAGAAAAGAAACTTAAAAACCACTTATACATAGATACATATTTTTTAAAGCTTTTCTGTCATTAAATGTTTTGGGTTTACAAAATTAAACATTTGGCATTCTTGCTCAAAAACAGCAGTAATCTTATCTTAAAGTTCATAATAATCATATACGCCCAGCCTCTGGCTCTCAACTTATGAGTCTCACATTTAGGCAAATTTTTATGAATTGAACCAATGGCATTTCATAGTAACGTAAGTTCATGTCCAAGTGCCACAGCTTGCCACTTGCTTGATTTTAGGCAATTTTCATAACATCTTATGCCTCAGTTTCCTCATCTCTAAAATGAGAGAAATTCACATATCTACTTCACTGAGTTGTGACAATTAAATGAAAGAATGCAGTTAGGAGCTCAGTGAAGGGCTTAGCACACAGTAAAGACTTAAGAAATGTTAACTCTTTTTGTTATGACTAACTACAACTTAATGTAAAAGGGAACTACAAGTAATTTTTTAAATCGATAAGCACATGGAGCCTTCGAGGAGAAAACATGACACCTTCAAAAATGAATATGCAAGGTTTGGAATTCGTTACTTCAGAGTAGAATTTTACCAGGTTAGAGGAATGACTTATAACCATATCTAAAAATTGTCATTCTTCAGTGCATTGCTCTTCATCTGCATTTGAAGCTGCCTCGTTATAAAAAAGCTGTAAAACGTCCTCAAAGTAACTTTAGTTCTTCCCCCTAAGAGTTCAAAATCCACTCCCTAGGTTTATTCTTTGGTACAAAAACCTTCAAAAGCTGATTTGCTGATGATAACAAATTTGTTTTCAGAAATAATATTCCTGATCTGAGGTGATAAACAATTCAGAACTTTCATATCATTGGGGAATTACATTTAAGAGATCAACTGGGGATCTGTGAAATAAGAAGCATTTACCTTGCTAGAGGAATGCTAGCCTGCATTTAATTGTATAATATTTCCCCTTCAGGGTGTATGAGACAGCGTGTTGGAAAATGGAATGATTCTTGGCTTTATTCAGAAAGAGAACAAAGGAGAGAAGGCAGGTAAAGGACACAGCACCATGGAAATGACATTTCGTTTCCATTTGAATTCTAAAGTACTGAACTTTTAAAATCTTCATTTGAAGAAACTCTGAGAAATTTGTCAGGAGGGAGTAAGAAAAATGATATAGCCTACCACTTAAGATAGGGTGCCAAAAAACATTAACAATTGTTCAACCTAAATGGTTAGTATTCAGGTTGAAGGGTGGCAGAATATGCCACCCCTACATATGCCACTTTAGCATAAGGATTATTTTGAGCTAAAGGCACTTAAAAAACAGCAGGTGCTAGAAGGGCGCTGTGACTCACCCCTTTTTCTTCCCGAATGCAGGGATAAAACCCCAATACAGAAGATGTCCTCTTTATACCAGAAGGAAAGTCACATTTTTATCATCAAGGATGAAAAGGTGAGACCTGGAGAATGCTGCACAAAGATACCATGTGAAAATAATTCTTATCTTCCTTTAGCCTGCCTACAGAGTTCACTTACTTTTCCACAATTGCATCTTTTCAGTCAATCGAATATAAAAGCATCTAGGTTTTGCCATTTCTTTATGTCTTCATTTCCTAATGAGGGCTCCATAAAACTTCTATTAAGTATATTTGCATGCTTTTCTTCTGTTAAACTGTTTTACATCAGTTTAATTCTCAGGCCCAGCCAAAAAACTCTAACAAGGCAGGGGTAGAATTTTTGCCTTCCTCACAAGGTGTTCGTTTTTCTATTCTTGAAACTTTCCGTATGTTTCACAATTTTTATAAACAAAAGTTGGGGGAATGAACTATTACTAAAAAATCTGGAAGACAAAATTCTGTTCTCATTTGACACACCGAGTATCTATTTACACTTTTCTCGGAAACAGCGTCTTCTCCTCCTCCACAAAACCCATGTGCTCTGAGGGAGGCTGACTCCATCACTTGGGCTATAAGGATAAGCCACAGCTCTGGTGAGGACAACTGGCAAAATCCCATCACCCTGTTCATTTGATTGGCTCAGGGGATGAGTGAGAGATGAAAGTTGGACCAATAAGGATGAAGGATTTTTTTTTCAACAGTTATCAGAAGAGCCTTTCCATTTTCCTACAAGACATGAATGGACAAATTAGAAAGGCCCAGTGCCAGGAGTGACATTAGAACCATGATCTGAGAGTCTCCTGGAGACTGGGCACAATATCAAGGAAATACAGCCAAGACACACACACACACACACACACACACACACACGGGAGAAGGGGGAAGGAAAAAGAGGGAGAGTGTATTAATCTGTTCTCACACTGCTAATAAAGACATACCTAAGACTGGGCAATTTATAAAGGAAAGAGATTTAGTGGACTCACAGTTCCACATGGCTGAGGAGGCCTCACACGCATGCCAGGTGAATCAAGAGCAAAGTCACACCTTACATGGCAGCAGGAAGGAGAGCCTGTACAGAGAAACTCCTGTTTATAAAACCATCAGATCTTGTGAGACTTATTCACTACCACAAGAACAGTATGGGGAAACTGCCCCCACGATTTAATTATCTCCACCTGTCCCTGCTCTTGACACATGGAGATTATTGCTATTCAAGGTGAGATCTGGGTAGGGACATAACCAAACCATATCAGAGAAAAACGTAGAGAGAAAAAAGGGGAAAGAGAAAAAAAAGAGAAGGAAAGGTAGAGGAAGAGAGGCCATACATGCACTAGATAAAGTCGCACCTACAGCTGAGCAAGATAGTTTCCAATTATCCTAGCCAATAAATTCTATTGTCTGCTTAAGCTAGAATGGGTCACATTTTTAGTTGCTTACTAGTGAAATTATCCTAACATGCTAACAGGCAAGATAAAAATAGTCTGAGCAATGACTAAAGGAGCACATTTTTTACCTCATATACTGACAATTCAAGAGCATTATTGCATCATTTGCTGCCAAATGGAGAGGAAAGTTGGTTCCTAAGGACCCCCTCGGCCAGAAAAGTACAAAACATCTGTTGAAGTCATGGGTGACTTGTTAGCAAAGTTCAGCAGCAGTAAAGCTTCCTAAGAAACAGGTCTTTTCTCACCAGCGGGTATTGATATAATTAGGGTCAATTACAATTTAGAATTTCCAGGGCATGGGGCTGAATTACAGTGGCATTTAAGAGCTCTGCTAAATTTTCCCATTCATCTTGAAGATTTCTGGAGGAACCTGTTGTAATTAAGTAATCTTCTTCTTTTCATTTTTATGACAATTTTCTTCTTCAGGCTTTGCAATTACCCACTACTCCAAAGTACCTTCCTTTAGAAGAAGAATTAAAAAAAAGACCACCTGATTTTCAATCGACAATGAGACTTGGTTTTGCTGCCTGCTAAGTGATGGATTGTGATGTGTACAGCAATCTCTAAATAAGCTGCTTCAACAAGATTTTTTAAACTCCCACTGCCCTCACCAAACACAGATAATCCCAAAAACTCATTGTCTGAGTGGGTGATCAAAAACGAAAGAGGTGACATTATGATTGCTGGGCATCCTTTACCCACGTGGTTTGTAAGTAGCCCTGGGAGATGTGCAAACAAACTCTATTACTTCCTTGTGGGTTTTCACATATGCTTCCCCCATACAGATTTTATGAAGACATACCTTTTGAGCTTTATGCAATCGAGGGGAAAGAGCTTTCACTGGATTAAGCTATTCCAATTGCATTTACCTTGGGCAACAAAGTATACCATATCCATAAAAAACAGCCAGAGGCTTTTAAGTATTAGGTCAATAGCACTTGAGTATCATATAGTCCCAAAAGAAGCTGTAACAGATCATGTTGATTTTATGGAATGCCTTGGCTCTCTCTGGGGAGGGAGTAGTACATAGGGAGTGAGGAACATTATGACACCTATTACTATCAACCACTGTTCAGTGATGGCTTTCTATGCAAGCACCCAACCACCCTGAGAAAAAAGTACTAACATCTTCAATTGCACAAAAGAAGAGGGAAAAATAATTACAGTTAGTTGTCTGGTCTGTGATCATCCAGCTCAAGTGAAAAAACTAAAATTTGAAAACCTCATCTTTCCAATTCCAAAGTTTATATTTAAAAATTGTACTTCCAGTGTTGAAAAGTATCTTTGGGAATAGTTATGCCAGTTTCTGACTCACAATAAGATACACTCCATGCATGTTGTGTGTGTGTATCTAAAACCATCCTTGACCCAGTACAGGCACTTCTAGTTAATCTTTCAACTGATCTTATCCTTGTCCAGCGTGTGGGCCACTGCTCATGCCATTTCTTCTACACAGCATACCTTTCTTTTCCCTCCCATTTCCACCTATGGAAATCTTGCTTGTAAGTCAAAGCCCTGCTGTGAACTAACTATGTGCAAGACATGACAAACACAGCAGTCAGACAGATGTAGCCTCTTTGTTATCTATTCCATAATAACACGAGGCATGTAATAGTGTTTCACAGTTTATGAAGACCTTCCAATGCACTTCCAGAATGGCCAAAATTCCAGCTAACTCTGGAAAACGCATTCCAAAGAGAACCAACTAGAATAAATGGGGAAAAATTTTATGTCATGAGTACCGAATGTGTGCCAAGTATTTCCATATATGCCTAACTTAATCATTGGCTGTATGACAAAATATGATTGCAAGCATATTAATGTATTAATTCAAAAATATTTTTGCAACAGCTCTGTTGTTAAAGGTTCTGTGTTAGACACTTGATGCAAGCAACACAAAGATGAATCAGACGAGAGGAAATAAAGTCTACACAAGTAGACAAAGAAAAACAGTGCTTTATATTGGACATTAACAAACAAAAGGAACCTGTAATCCCAGAACTTTGGGAAACCAAAGCGGGAAAATTGCTTGAGCCCAGGAGTTTAAGACCAGCCTGGGCAACATAGCGAAACCCCGTCTCTATAAAAAAATTTTAAAAATTTAAAAAATTTAAAAAATTAGCAGATCATAATGGCAACTGCCTGTAGTCCCAGCTACTAGAAAGGCTAGGTGGGAGGATCACTTGAGCATAGGGGGGTCAAGGCTGCACTGCGGCATGATCATGCTACTGCACTCTAGCCTGGGCGACAGTGAAACTCTGCCTCGAAAAGAAAAAAATAAATAAATAGAAGGAAATAAACGTGTGCTCAAAGGGTATTATGGTAGTAGACACCTTTATTCCAGCAGCTAGTACTGTACATGGGAAAGAGCAAATAATGATTATTTAATAAACAGATAATAAAAAAAGACTGGGCTGGGCGCGGTGGCTCATGCCTGTAATCCCAGCACTTTGGGAGGCCGAGGCCGGTGGATCACTAGGTCAGAAGATCGAGACCATCCTGGCTAACAAGGCGAAACCCCTTCTCAACTTAAAAAAAAATACAAAAAAAAATTAGCCGGGCGTGGTGGCGGGTGCCTGTAGTTCCAGCTACTCGGGAGGCTGAGGCAGGAGAATGCCGTGAACCCAGGAGGCAGAGCTTGCAGTGAGCCGAGATAGCGCCACTGCACTCCAGCCTGGGTGACAGAGCGAGACTCCATCTCAAAATAAATAAATGAATAAATAATAAAAAATAAAAACAAATAATAAAATAAAAAACACTGTGGCCTCATCGAGTTTCTACTGTAGTACACCATTGAAAGAGCACAGAACACTGAAGTATTCATTGCTACTTATATTTTTAAGTTTTTATTTCCATTCTACACTCCAGTGAGCAAATCAAAATGCCTACTGCCAAAAAAGGCTCATAATTAATACATTTTTACTTACAATGAAGGCTATCATTAGTATATCACCAATTAATGTCAGAAAAGGAAGATCTGTCATGATATTCTGAATCGACATTGTAAAAAGGAGAAAATATATGGATGGAAAGTATTCTGGCATGTTTCTAGTTATTAAGAACAACTCTGCTGAACAGCAATTTGGGATGATGTGAAATGAAACAAATGATATCACTCATTGTATTCAGTGTGATGATCAGTTGGCAACAATTACAAAAATGTACCAGTAAGGATATAATATCAAATGTCTATAGATAGTCAAAATTGCAAATGGCATGGAAAAAACATAAGAGAAAACCATCACACCTTTCTCTCTGTTTTGCAGTCAATGATTTTCTCATTTGTATTCTCCTATACTGTAGACTTCCCAGGACAGAGATTACCTGAGGTTCTTCTCTGGATCTCTAGACAAAGCCCACTGTCCAATACTTAATATATGACTGTTAACTATGGAAACAAGGAAGGAAGGAAGTCACAATTTCATTCTGAAAACTAATCCACCTTCTTATCAGCCAATATGTCCTCCTTCAAGGAGCAGCACTGGAAAAACTAATGAAATAAAACACCAGGACAAAACGTGGTATCCTTCTCCAGAATGCACAGGAAATTTCTGAATATTACCAAGAATTAAATATATTTGATTGTTATATAGCCTCAAATGGGCCAGCACTTACTTGTGAGTTACTAATCTAATCTCAACTATTTCTTTTCTTTACAACATTGTATTTCAAAATAACTCAAACCTACAATTGGTTGCAAGTTAGTACGATGAATACCTGCAATACCCTACTTCAACTGTTAAGGTTTTATCATATCTGCTTTCTCTCTTTTACACACACAGACACACATATAGGCACACACTCAGCAATATCATCATCATTTTCCCAATTGCTTCTTAGGGCACAATGGTTTGGGTATTCAAGAAAACAAGAATAAAAGTCATGGCATCCTGCAGACCAAAGCAAGACCTAACCCTTGTGTGAGGTATAATCAGTATCTTGAGTGAAATCATTTCCCTGGAGTGAAGAGTTCCCAGTGCAATGAACAGTGAGAACTACAACCGGAAAAACAGGTAGCAAAGACCCTAATAACTCCATATTTTATCTAATAAGAAATGAAGTGCTGAAGATTTGTGAGTGGGCTTGTAACCAAATAAAATGATTTTTCCCAATATAAATTAGAGATACTATATCAAACGCACAGCAGAGACAAGAAGGTGGTGGCAGGAAAATCAGGCAAGTTTAAAACACCTAGAGTATTAGCAAAAAAATACATAATATAACTGGATTTGTTCTATTCCTCTAACAAAATATAACTAAAAGGGTTTGAAAAGTCATCGGCCAACAATATTTAATATAACATACTCAAATCACATATATTTCAATTAATTAGGTTTCTACAGGAGTAATGTGGTATTTGGACTTGGACATTAAATCAATACTGGCCTTACAGTTACTTCCCATGTTCTTCAGCCCTCCATTACAATCCACTCCCCTACCCAAAAATCAATACCAAAGCCTTATATGAGACAGAAAGGACAGTAATCTTTAAGTGGAAATAGGAATCTAAATTACAATTGTAAATGTCTAAAGCTTGTAGTCTGGGGATTTTCCTAATGGGAATATTTGATGTGACTTTTTGTTATTCTTATGGTTGTGCTCATAAGCACATCACAAGGATGGTTTAAAGGCCCGAGCACCATAAATTAGATATTCTTTAAGAAATCATGTTCTTGACATATTTTTTCATTATCTGAGAAGAATGAAACAGATTTTTTTTGTTAATTAGTGCTAAGGCATGTATTTTGCATTAGCATTAAGTTTACCAAAATGGCTTTAAAAACTTGAACAGATGGCAGAATTATAATAACTTTTCCTTATGATTTAGGTTAAGAATAAAGTGTCATGAGAATTCTCCTCCTACCTAACTTTTCTATAAAGTTAATGCATTTAATAGATATGGCATGTTTGTTTTTCTCACTGAGGTGTAAACAACTCTATCACACCTCAGATGAGTATAATGAGATGCGGGAATACATTTCAATACTCTCTACCTAGGGTAAAGGGATTTTCCAGGGTTTAAACATCAAACCACGCAGAAACAACTCCAAACCTTCGACAATAACTGCACAGGATGGCACAGGGGTTGCAAAGACAGATGTCTTTAGGGGCCTGGCAGGTACTGAAAACGAGTAAAGTAGACTTGCTCTGAGGATAATAGGGAGTAGTGGGAACTGCAGCCAGCCGGACAGAGCAAGCACCACCCGGGGCGACAAACCCAACTTCTCACCAACTGCTTTCAGGAATGGAATGAAGGCCCTGAGTAGCTGGAATCACTTATTTTCCAAAAGCCGCCCCAAATCTAACTTTCCTATGTGAAATGTCCCAATAAAAATTTCGGTGGCTAGTTTATATTTTTTTAAAGAAAAGATAAAATAAAAAGAAATGAGGACTAAAGAAAACAGTCAGTGGCCTCCAGGAGGAACCATGAGACATTAGTCTGCAGCCTTAGATGGATATCTATAACTGGTGTTCATGGACCTGGGAGGTGGAGGTTGCAGTGAGCCGAGATTGTGCCACTGCACTCCAGCCTGGGCAACAGAGCGAGACTCCATCTCAAAAAACAAAAACAAAAAAAAACAAACAACAAACTGGTGTTCATGGTTAGTGCTATGGCTTATTTCATGCCCTGTCCTTGAGGGGGATCTCAGCCCCTAAGTGAAACACTTGAAATTAGTAAACTGGGTCGGCTTGCAAGCCTGATTTTTGAAAAGGTATTATGGTGAAACCTGGAAACCTGCATGAATTCTAATGTGGCCCACCTTTATACCTATGTGAGATGATCTTGAGCTCTGTAACCTCCATTGATCTTACCAGTGGCTCAGCTAGCTCTCATTTTATTTGTCTTCTTGACTCTCCCTTAAATTCCCCATCGTGCCTATTCCCAATTTATGCCTCTTAAAAGTCATTAGTAACTGAAATGAGCAAAGTTTAAGAACTGGTGCCTCTTCCTGGCCTCCATATGCTTTAATTTCATTGCAGCATTGGATATCTCATCTTCCCATGTCTCTTATCATCAACCTCAAGCTCCCCAAATTTCCTTGCTCTCACTAAATTTACCCATTTTTCTCAAGCCTTTTAAGATTTCTTAGAATCCAGAACTGTAAGCAATAAATATTTGTTGTTTCTAAATCACCCAGGCTAAGGTATTTTGTTATAGAAGCAGGAACTGACTGAGGCAAAATGTTATCTTGCTTAATTCAGAAGACAGACCCTATGGTTACGCCATTTTGTAGATGAGCTAACTAAGGCTAAGAGAGGACAGGTAACTTGCCTGAGGTTACACAACTAGGCAGAAGCCAAATCCAAATACCAGTCAAGCACTAGCCACCAGGCTCTCCTTTCTCATCTCCCACTTCTAATCAATTGATAACTTTGGTAGATCCCACCTTGGTTTAGTACCTTGCATCCACACCTCTGTGCCATCCCAGCACCATCATAATTCTAATCATACATTTCAGTATGATTGGTCAGGTGCAATAGTCTCCTAATCTCCTTAATATCTCTAGTTTCTTTCTCTTCAACACAAATTTCCACACTCTATGATCTTACTAATATTCAGCTCCCATCATGTTCTTCAGAAAAAGAAAAATGTGTGGAACCTACGCAATGTCTAGGTCTGTTCAGTGTCTTCAAGGTATTTTACAACTCTGTTACATTACAGGTAACTAATAGTAATGCAAAATATTAAGACATGCAAATTATTTCCTGTTTGATACAGGTTTACTTTGACCTCCTTCCTTCCTGCCACCTGGAGGAAGAAAACAGCTTTGCCTCCATTTTCACACACATTTCAATATTCCTGTTTTATAAACATGCCTGTTGTTTGGATTATCTTTTAAACCAGTTATATCATCTGCAGCTTCCCTTGTGAATTAAATAAAATCTTTAACACAGGTTCATTTCTGTATCTGTCTGAGAGTTATGACTTAACCTATTGCTGAAAATGTTCTTCTAACATGTTTAGCTCCTAACAGATCCTTGCTCTAAAACCTTCAATGGACACCAGTTGCCAAATGAATTAAATCCAGAAACGTTACCCTGGAATTCAAAACTAAGAGTATCATCTACTCTGTCAGTCATATATTACACTGCTTGTCCATTCACATCCTGCATGGACAATAAAAGAAACTCCGTGGGTGCCACACATTTCACTCTCCCAGTTTTCTTCCTCTGCTGATGCTACTCTTTCACCCTGGATTGTGGCTTTTCATAGAGTGTTCAACATAATAGCTGCTGTGGATGCCCTAACCCATGCTTCTCAAACATTTCACAGTAGTAACATGGCATAGGGATTAACATTTGCTTCACTGAAGTAGGGGAGCAGGAGGAGGACAAGGAAGGTGGAGGTAAAGTAGACTGCTACAAGCAGAAATTTCTTTGATGTCTCATGCTTTAGCTCAAAAATATATGCAGATTAAAAAGGAATGAGATCATGTCCTTTGCAGTGACATGGATGAAACTAGAGGTCACTATCCTTAGCAAACTAACTCAGGAACAGAAAACTGAATACCAAATGTTCTCACCTGTAAGTGGGAGCTGAATTATGAGAACAAATAGACACATGGCGGGAACAAAACAAACTAAGGCCTGTCGGAGGGTCAACGGGGAGGAGAGAGAATATCCGGAAGAAGAGCTAATGGATGCTGGGCTTAATACCTGGGTGATGGGTTGATCTGTGCAGAAAACCACCATGGCACATGTTTACCTATGTAACAAACCTGCAATCCTGCACATGTAACCCTGAACTTAAAAGTTGGAAATTAAATACACACACACACACACACACACACACACACACACACCTCTGCAGATTTTGTACACACTCCATCATATATCAGCAGGGGCTTTTGTGAAAAATAATATTGCCACCTCCAAATATTACAATAAAATTTCCCTTCCTGGCAGGTGACTAGTCTGTGGTGTTGTACATCCCATGAAACACTCTGTGACAACGTTCAACTTTACCTGAGCCCTGTGCTCCCAGAAAACCAGAATTAAGAAATCTTCAATCCTTTCTGTAAGATCCCATCTCCATCGTTCCTCAGGATTCCCTTGTTTAGCGGCCTCTCTAAAACTCCAGGCCCACTTCCTCTTCTTCAAAATGTTCTACCATAATTAATGCTCTCCCTGTAGCAGTATCCTAAATAAAATCACCTCCTTAACTGTCCAGTGCATTATATCTTTGACATATGGCATCCCTTCTTTGAAAAGTCCATGATTTTAGATGGTGCTTCCTAAGATTATTACTTTAAAATATTAAATTGTGATAGTAGTATAGGGGAAAAATATATTTTCCTCACTCACCACTAAGTTCATGGCTGAGGCACCTATAACAAAAGGTAGATCAACAAGGAAAAAGCATATAAATCTATTGAATGAATTTTACGTGACATGGGAGCCTTCATAGGAAAATGAAACCCTCAAAATAGGGAAGCCTGTGTCTTTTTCTATGTTGGTTTGATGGAAAAGTGGATAGTAATGAAAAAGTATTATTGGATGAAAAAATATGATCTAATGGTAATAAGCTGGGAGGGACTTTGGAAGGCCTGTTTGCTAAATCTTCTTTGTGTCCCTGTATCTTCAGAGATAAGGATGTTCCCTTTCTCCAGATCTGTGGAGGGTACCTCTTGAATGAGGGTCTTATGAGAAGGGGAAGGGGAAGGGGAAGGTAAAAGAGATCTTCCTGCTTCTGCTATGTTCTCAAATATCAAGATGCCATATTTTGAAGTCATGTGTCCTGAACCCTATTCAGTTAAAAAAAAAAAAAAGACCTACCTTGATGTGGTTCCGAAAGATTTTTTTCACCTGTCCCCATTTAAAATGACTACCAAAGTTATAGCCGTCAAAACTACATAGGAATCTCTGCAGCAGGCCAGGAATTGCTGAGGTAGAGAAATAGAAGAAGTGGGCAGAGACCTTTCCTATCACCCTTAAAATATCTGAAAACTAAAACTACTGGAAATAGACACTAGTTTTCATTCAATCTTTCTTTCAACAAATGTTGCTCAGACATAGCAGATGAGCGGCTGGGTACTGGCTATACAATCTGTTCAGGGGAAAGCTATGGAATCTTGATTAAAACTTTGAAATCCAAACCACAGATAAGATGAAAAGGAAGAAGATGAGTAGTGGGTGTGGAGAGACCTTCAAAGCCGGAAGGCTACAAAACATCAAAACATTCTGAGGACAGGATGGGAAGACCTTAAGTTATGGCAACTGCAAATAATAATGGCTTACATTTGTTTTAAGGGAGTATCTTAAAATATTCAGGAACTAAGCTTAGTAATTTACATTCATCACCTTGCTAAATCCTTAGAGTAACTCCAGGAGCTAAGTACTATTATTATCCCCACTTAACATAAAAAGCAACACAGCCTCAGAGAGGTTAATTAACTTGCCCAGGGACTTGCAGACAGTAAGTAGCTAGGCTGCCCAACTCAAAATCATGTTTCAATAATGCACCCCAAGTGCTGTTACCATGGGTTTTCTAGAAAGGGTATCCAATATAAATTGGAATCCAGAGTGAGGTGGAGAAAGAGTAAAGAGTGGGTCAGATTTCCTATGCCAACTCAGGGAGTGTGAACTTCACCCTGGCAATGGGATGACAAGGAAATAATTCAAGGGAGGGAAAGCAAGAGGCTGGGACCTAGCAATGGATACCCCTGTACCACTGGGCCCCTTCCAGAGCATGAAAATGAATGAGAATAGGGTAGAATACAACCACAGGCTCAAGTGTCTCAATAACCACAAGGTCAGAAAGGATTTGCTTTAAGGCAATATTTAAACGCCAGTGAACACTCAGGTCTGAATTCTGTGCATCTAACCACTACAAGTTAGAAGAGAAAAAAATATTAGTGTTCTTAAGGAAGATCTAGCAAAACCATCCTTCCAGTTCTAAGGGCCGTAGAGGGTGTAGGAGGTTGGTTCACACTTCAGGGTGTACCAATTAAGTATGATGACTGCAGCAAAATAGTGAGTAACACAGCTAGATATTTAAAAGCCTCAGTTACTGGATTCCTGCCACTGCAGGAAACTTCTGTCTTGACTAAATTTAAAAAAAAAAAAAAGAAAAAAATAGTGTCAGGAGAAACAAAGTGTAAAATACAGAACTTATTTTTCTTCCTGCCAGGTGTAAGCGTTAAAACTTGGCGTATTCACTATTGTTTAGAAGTTTGAAAACTTTTAACAAAACAATAGAACACAGAAGTGAAAAAGTGATTGTTGGGGCTTTAGACTTAACACAAAGCTTTTGCAAATAAATGCCTCTATAACCTTAATGAATTCTAATAAAATATATTATGCTATTTTTTTCTTGTATCTGTCAGAGGTGTTTGAACCAGAGCAACTCTATCTTGAATAGCGGCTGGGTAAAATAAGGCTGAGACCTACTGGGCTGTATTTCCAGGAGGTTAGGCATTCTAAGTCACAGACGAGATAGGAGGTTGACACAAGGTGCAAATCACCTGATAAAACAAGATGCAGATGCGTAAAGAAGCTGGCCAAAACCCATCGAAACCAAGATGGTGATAAAAGTGACCTCTGGTTGTCCTCAATGCTCATTATATGATAATTACAATGCATCAGTGTGCTAAAACACACTCCCACCAGCGCCATGACAGTTTACAAATGCCATGGCAAAGTCTGGAAGTTACACTATATGGTCTAAAAAGAGGAGGAACCCAACCCTCAGCTCCGGGAATTGCCAACCCCATTCCCGGGAAAGTCATGAATAATCCACCCCTTGTTCAGCATCTAATCAAGAAATAATTATAAGTATTTTCAGTTGAGCAGCCCAAACTGCTTTCCAAATAAACTTGCTTTCACTTTACTTTTTGGAATACAAAAGTATTTTGGAATAAAAAAAGTACTTATCCCTTTACTTTCCTAATAAAGTTGATTTCACTTTACTCTTTGGACTCACTCTGAATTCTTCCTTGCATGAGGTCCAAGAACCCTTTCTTAGGCTCTGGATTGGTACCCTTCCCAGTAACATATCCACGACAGGTGAGAAAAGAAAAACAAAAGACATATATATCATATTACATCCTACCTAAGATGGTACCAATCGCAAGGAACGTATTAATTTCAGAGACGGTGAGTATTAGAATCATCAAAATACACTATAATTATCACATTCATGAGTCCTGTTGATACATTTATTTTACTGTCTAAAATTCAGGAGTTTATGGTAAGGGAGTCTATTTGTAAGAGACCCTGTTGATTTTCACAAGTCAAGAAACAATAAACTTCAAGACATACTAAAAAGAAACCAGCCTGATGTCAGATCCTCTTCAACATAGAAACTATCCTCATAGTAAATTAAATTGAGGAAATATTTAATGGATAAGCTTGACTTTGTAAACGTGCCTTCCTGACCAATAGGTACGTTACTGATGACGTTCAGGACACCCCACTTTGGCACTGGAGGAAACAGCAGAAGCAAGAAGGTCTCTTGGACCTTCTTCCTGCCCTTCTCCTCTGAAGCAGACTATACAGTAATTCTCTGACCTCTGCAGTACATCATTAAGACTCCCATTTCAGAGGTTCTCTCACTGTACCTGGAGAAAAGGAACATCTCTGTCTCTCTGAAGACAAAGGGACACAGAAGAATCTGAACAAACAGGCCTTCCCAAGTCAGCCCAGTTTATTACCATTAGACCATAACCTTTTATCCTCCTATAATATTTCTCCCCTACCATCTACTTTATCAAACTGAACATTAAAACATGTACATTTCCCTATGTCTTTGGGTCTTCATTTTGGAATGATCCTGTGTCACATAAAACTTATGTTAAATAAAGTTGTATGTTTTTCTCCGGTTAATCTGTCTTTTGTCATAGTGTCTCAGTCATGAGTCTAGTGACAGATGAAAAATCTTTTGTCCCCTACAGCATCTATGAAGATCCAAAGAATGTCAAAGTATAATTTTTAAAAAGTTACAAACATTGCTTTTAGATAAATATAAAGCAAACATATCAAAATGAATTTCTTAATGAGGGAACCAGTAGCATGGTGTATTCATACAAAAAGAATTAAAGAATCTAAGTACAAATAGGCCCTGACAATGTCAAACTTTACCTGAGCCCTGTGCTTGCAGAAAAGTGATGGTTAACAACCACCCCTACAAACCTTTTGAAAATTAAAGGCAAAACATCCCCACCCTTTTTGGTTCTGGGAAATGGCTGCTGAAGAGAACTACCCTTCCCCAAATGACTTAGATATGACTATTCTTACTCTATCATAATTTTCACAAAATGTGCAGACCACCCCTTTTGTTTACCTGTAACAAGGCCAGAAAGAGACCCAACCCTTTTTACCTCTAGCCAATTTCCCACTCTGTGGCTCAGGATTGATTAGCTAAGATTAGAACTCTTTTTACCCCTAAAACTGCTAGACGCTGAAATAAACATTTCCTGTTCAGCTAACTGACTGAAATTCCCTGACGGCAAAACAATCCCAGCTGTGAATCTCTTACCTAAAGAGTTAACCAAATAAACTCTTTATGTGGTTAGGTACTTTATATGACTTAGTACATATAAAGTACAAAGAAAAAAAGATAAAAAAAAAAGACTTGGATTTGAAGAACAAAGAACTTTAGTTCTTTGAAAGGCACAGTTTAGGAAATAAAAAGCCAAGTCACAGACTAGAAGAACATATTTTTAATGCAAATACTTAATAAACGACTTATATCTAGAATAAAAAATAACTAATATCTCAGTAAGATAGTCAACCCAATTAAAAATGAGCAAAGTACCCAAAATGACATCGTACAAAAGAAAACATAATTACAGGAAAAAAATGCTTATCATTAGTCATTAGGGAAATGCAAATTAAAACCCAAATGAGATACTGCTACACAGCTAAATAGAATGGCTGAAATAAAAAGACTGACAATATCAAGTGTTGACAAGGATTGGCAGCAATTAAGAACTTCCAAATGTTGATGGTAGAGTGAAAACTGATATAACCATTTTAGAATACCACTGGCAATTCCTTGTAAATTTGACTTTAAATATAGCATGTGACTCAGTAATTCCACTTGTAGGTATGCATCCAAGAAAAATGCAAACATATTCTCCAATAGACTCATCTATGAAAAATTATAGCTTTCTTCATAATAGCCATAAAGTAGACACAACCTAAATGTCCACTATCAGATGACTTAACAAACTGTAGTATAATCATGCAACAATACTACTCAGCAATGAAAAGGAATGAACTGTTGACACATGCAGTAACAAGAAGGAGAAAAGGCCCCAGGAACAAAAAGATACATGCTACATGATTCCATTTATACAAAATACTTAAAAAGCCAAACCTAATCTATAGCATCACAAAGCAGATCAGTGGATGCCTGAGGCCAGGGGTGGTAGAGAGGAGGTGGAATGCAAAACTGTGGAAGAAACTTATTGATTTGATGACAGTATTCTACAGTAATCCACAGTGTATGTAAATTTTATGTGTGTTGCTGTATATAAATGATATCAAAAAATTAAAACTAAAGAAATAAAGTCTTTAGCTTAAATGCATCTTTCAACAAGTTCTTCATTTGCAATCTAGCTTATCACATTAGAATAATTGGCAGTCTCCTAGGAAACTGGTCTGGAGAAAGTGAGTGTTTTTTTTTTTAAATGAAAAGATTTTAGATTTACGTTGAGAATTTTACCAATCATCTTAAATATTTTTCCTTTGAATCTATTTGATCTGTTCAAATTAAACTTGTTATGTCCTGAGGTGGTTAGCTAAGGGTACCATCAACAAAGTATGTGGCATCAGCTTCCAGTGAATTCCCCAAAGTGGGGGAGAAAAATATTAGAGATGGATCCAAAGAGAAAGCCTTTCACCAAAATCTCCATTCAGCCTTGCTTTTCATCACTTAAATCCTAGAAGAAAATGTTCTCTGAGGACCACTCTGTATGTAGGAGTAGCCTGATGAGCAAACATAATACTTCTCAAGTATAGACATGATAAAGCAGCAAAGTCAAAACCATGGACAGATTCAAGTCATAAAAGGATTTTGAATACATTTAGCCATGCACTCACTGATAAAGCCTTCCTACCAATAGTTCAGCTCATATTACATATAACAAGGACCAGTAGCTAGAAAAGCTAAAGCTTAAAAAGAAAAAATTATCACAGTGGAAAATTATCATTAGAAATACTCAACTTAAGAAAAGACTTGAAAACCTCTTCTGTACACACAGCACTTTATCACTATAAGTTACTGGTTCTATTATCTTATTTAATCCTAATAACACTAACAATAATACATTAAGAGAGTTAATAGAGAGTTAATATAAAAGCACAATAGAGCAAACACTGCATATAGAGCATTTAGAAGTCCTTCGAAAGCCTCTGCTAGGAATGGCTTCAAAACCCAGGGAGTTGAATGTGGACTCTCCTTTTCTCCTTTCTTTTATTTCAGTGGTTCTTGAATGTTCAAGTACATATCAATATATCAAAACCATGTACTCATTAATGAGCCACTTAAGGAAGGAATTTTTAAGGCAATTGTGATGAAATGCGACTTTCACCTCACTGTTTCTCAATCTTTTTTTCATCATCATCCCTGCAAGGAGCGTTTTCTAATTGCCCCCCTGAAATTTTAATACCACAGATTTTCTTTATATCCTTATACGTATTGTCTCTATGTCTGCGCTTTACACATAAAAAGAATGACTTTTTATTGCTCCCAAGAATTAATTTTCACCGGCTTGGGGGTGATATCACTCCCACTGAGAATGCACGACCTAACCTGGACCTCTAGCTTAATATGAACCTCTCCTGTTTATCTTCAATGGCTCCTTTCAATGAAAAGTCTACATCCCAGAGCCTTCTTGGTTGAAGCATATCTATTAAAGTTTGTTTTCTTTATACCAAGTTTTTCCCAACATTTCTGCTGAAGTACACAATGATAGTGGAGAAGGAACATACATGCTGAAAATGAAAAACATATATAGACATATTTAGCAAGCAGGAAATGTATTTGAGCTCTGATATCTTAAAACATTAAGCAAACAGAGAAAGAGTAGTCTTTTTAAGAGATGGTCCTTGGACAAGTGGATATCTACACACAAAAGAGTGGAAGGCTCCTACTTCATAGAATATATAAAAATTAACTCGAAATAGATCAAAGACCTAAGAGTTTAAAGTATAAAACTTAGAAGAAAACATACATGTAAACCTTCATGAGTACGGATTACACAGGGGTCTCTTAGCTATGTCAGCAAAAGCACAAGCAACGACAGCCACAACAAAGAAAAAATATATATAAATTAGACTTCATCAAAATGTAAAAGTTTGTATTTTGAAGGACATCATTAATAAAGTGAGAAGACAATCAAAGAGGAATGGGAGAAAATATATGCAAATCACATATCTGAGAAGGGACTTGTATCTAGAATATATAAAGAACTTTTTCAACTCAATAATAAATAGATGATTCAAATTTTTTAAATGGGTAAAGGTTTTAAATAGACATTTCTCCAAACAAGATACTCAGATGGCCAATACGCAAATGAAAAGATACTCAGCATTAAAAGCCATCAGAGAAATGGTGATCTAAACACCATGAGTCACCATTTGGCACCCACAAGGTCACCTATAACTAAAAAAAAATTAATAATGATGGGGAAAAATCAGAACCCTTACATCTTGCAGGTGATCATGTAAAATGATGCATCTAATTTATTATATACATAAAGATAGTATATATAAAGGTATATATATTACCCAGCAATTCCACTCCTAGTTATACACCCAAGAGAAATGAAAACATATGTTCACACAAAAGTTCTATATGAATGTTTATAACAGCATCATCCATAAAAGCCTAAAAGTGGAAACACCCCAAATTTCCATTGATGGATGAAAAGATAAATAATGTGGTACACGCATACAATGGAATATTATTAGCAATAAAAAAATAAAGTACTGAGACACATTACAGCATGATGAACCATGAAAACATTATTCTAGCTGAAAGAAGCCAGTCACAAAAGACCACAACTGTGTGATTTCATTTATAGGAAATGTCCAGAACAGGCCAAGATATAAAAACATAAAATGGAATCATAATGCCCAGGGCCGCGGAGGGGGCTTCATGAGAAACAGAAATGACTGCTAATGCATCTGGGGTTTCTTTTGGTGGTGATGAAAATGGTCTAAAAATGACTATGGTGATAGTTGCACAATTCTGATAATGTTCCGAAAACCACAGAATATACACTTTAAATGGGTGAATGGTATGCTACATATATTATATCTCTCTAAAGATGTTTGAGCAGGGGAAGGGAAAGGATTAAGGAGGAGTTAGATCCTCAGATCCCATCTCCCACTCCTGATAGCCAGGAGATTGCGACACCCCCTCATCCTGGCCAGTGACTTAAGCTTTGTTCCTGTAGAGAGTAAAATAGAGGGTCTCTGACATAGAGTACCCCAGCAAAATGAGAGAGCAGGGCTGCAGGAGAGATGTCTCTAGGAAGATGAAAGTGCCAGAATACCAGAAGTGCATGAACATCTTGAGAAGGTATTTAGACAACCAGTGAAGACTTTGGGGGCTAAGACAGTGATAAGTATTTACAAAACCAAGCAAATTAAAAAACAAGAAAATTATTACATCCAGAGAAATCAAAAGTCAGGCAGGATAGAAAGTGTGATGGTAGTTTACTCCACACTTCAGCTTTAGATGACATTTCAATACTGTACTAATATGAATATTAATTTCATCAAATTTGCAGTAAAATTACATTGAGATAAGGGACAGAAGAAGAGCGTGTGCAATAGAAGTGAAGGGAAGACTAGTGATATTAGTTATGTTCTCTGCTTCCATAGTGCAAAATCAATAGAAAGAGCTTGAAATGTAAAAAATAAAAAAGTATACATATTACTTAGAGATACAGAGATAAATACTAAAATAATCAGTTTAAAAGAAATGAGGGAGAGGAAGGAGGGACAATGTAGGGGTTTTGAATTATTTTTTAGTAACAAGCCTTATAGGGCTACATGAGGTCACATATACACACACACACAATAAATGGGAAATGCTTGCAAATTGCATAATGTAATGAAAATTTTCAAATACTTTATAAAAATACCATGGAAAAATTATGCTATTATAAGAAATGTTATGTGAATTGTGTTCTCAATAATATGATTTTTGTCATAATACAAAAATATTTTAAATTACTCAGTAGGTAAAGTATTTAACTTTGTTCTCAAATAAGCAAAATTCCTCAAAAGATGCAGCATGTTTATCCTAGGTCTCCACGGGCCTCTGAACACAATAGCAATTACCACTATAAAATCCCAGTCTGAGATTTTGTGCTTAACATATGACCGTTCTTCCACACTTAGCATTTTCTACTGTATACATCATTAATTCGTTTAGTAAATATTTAAGCATTTACTAATGATCAATTCAAGTAAAATAAAAATATCTGATCTAGGACTGATCCTAACAAATTAGTTTTCTGGAATTATATTTTTTCTAGATTGCTGATCACCACGTACATGAATACAAAACTATTTATTGAAGATGTGTGATATTCAGCCTAAATCTTGTAAAACTTGGACTTGATAGTCTAAGAAGCTATTATGTGCACACATATTTGAAGGACATTTTTAAAAGTGCTAAACTATAAATATTCTGATTCACTGCTCTCTTACATGCACTAAAAATGACTTCGTGCAATCACTAACCAGGAGGTAGGTTTTGTATCTTACTGAAAATGTCACTTAATAAATAACCTTCAAATTTAAATGCAAACTGTGGATATCATTCATAGAACCTCAAACTTGCCCTTGAAGTCTAAATGGGCAAACAAGGTAACTACAAAAAGCTTTTCAGGCGTTAACACCCTACTGCTTCAACTCCTTGAAAAGCAGTCTGAACTTTTGAGTTTTTAGCATAATATTCTTATGCTGAATAATCTCTATCTCCTATAGCATTTAGGCTGAGGACGTTAAGTATGATGTACTGTTGGGATAATTTGCAATTTTCACTTCTCATTCTCAGATTAGATTACTAACAGTGTTGGAGGAAATCACTTTACTGCATAGTTCATTCATAGCAGTTCATTTGTCTATTCAAAACCTGATGTCTTGTTTATGGCTGTATATCCTAATGTGTTGCATTAAGGTGTTAACAGAACTAGTTGCAACCCTAAAATTGGACTAGGCAACATGACTTGGGACTGGCACAGTCAGAGACCAGGAAGCTGGACATTTATTGAGTAAGAAGAAAGGGAAATTTTGAGACAGAGAATTTGCAATTATGTATTATTTACATTATGTGAAGTTGACTTTTTCATTAGCCAGTATACATCCTTGATTGTGACTGCTATATATAGTTTACTTTTATATCCTCCATAGTATCTGTGTTCACAGTAGGTGTAGGTGTGGTCGACAGAATCCTGGCCACCTATAGATGTCCATGTCCTAATACTCAGAACCTCTGAATATGCTTACATGGGAAAGGGGCATTAAGGTTGCAGATGATGAAGGTTGCTAATCTGCTGGCCTTAAGGCAGGGAGATGATCCTGGATTATCTAGGTGGGCCCAACATAATCACAAGGGTCCTTAAAAGATGGAAGAGACAGGCTGAAGAGAAGGTCACAGTGATGAAAAGTGAGAAGTCAACCTGCCCTTTCTGGCTTTAAAGATAGAGGAAGGGGCCATGAGAAGCTGGAAAAGTCAAAGAAACAGGTTCTCTACTAGAGCTTCCAGAGGAAACACAGCCCTGCTGACATCTTGATTTTAGCCCAGTGAGAGCCATTTAAGACTTCTGGCCTCCAGAGTTGTTAAATGATTTTATTTTTGTTGTTTTATGTTACTAAGTTTTCAGTAATCTGTTATGGAAGCCATCAAAAACTAGTAAATGATTAATTTAAAACTTTCAAAGTAAAAAATAAGAACTAAGAAGAACACCTAAAGGAATAAGTATGAGCCATCAAGATATTTTCAGTTTTCTACGTCTTTAACCTTATTGGGAACCTTTGGTTGATGTAGTTAATCACTGGAGTTTTCCTGTCCATTCATTTGAAATCTAGAATTTCTTTCCATTTGAAATAGTTTTCTTTTACTGACCAGAAGCTAAACTGTCCTGGATCACCTGCTGGCTGTTCTTTTGAGAAATCTTGGTATTTTCCAGTGAGTTATGACTGCACTATGGGATACTACTTCCTGAGAACACAAAAGTTGCTTTAGCTTATCGCTTTAGGCAGATATTTTTGCCTCAGTTATCTTTTAGCTGTGTATGACTTAAACACAAAAATTTTAAAAATGTGGGAGTGCAAAGAAATATCTTTTGAGGTAGGCAGTCTTTTATCTATTTCTCCATTCAACCAGCATTTGCTAAGCATTTAAAATATCCTAGCATTGAGCCAGGCATTGAGTATGTGAAGACTGAACAACACAGGGTCATTTTCTTCAAGAAGCTCACAGTCTAGTGAAGCAGATAGAAATGTTGGAACAAATAAGAGTTTAAGAAAGGAATCTGTAAGTGTTACAGGAACTTTGAGGGAGAAATGTCTAACTTCATTTTAAAAAACTGCCATTTCGGTTCATAAAAAATGGGGAGTTACACCCCTATGGGTGAACATTTGCTGACCTTGTAATTAGTTATAAACTCATGGGTTGGTTAGAAGATTCTTTTAAGTATCTATTCAGGCCCATAGCTTTCTCTGAAAATGACCAGGCCTCATACGACGCCAGAACTAACATGACCAAGGGGGTGTATCTGACTCTACACTGGGCCAGCCAATCAGATTCTCAGTCCAGAGAATTTGGAATTAGAATTCATGGGATGAGGTTGTATCTGTTGTGACAGCGAAGTCAGGTGACAGAGACTCAGTGGTCTAAGAGACCAGGCCACGCAGGCGCATGGAGCCCCAGCACAGAAGGCAGCAAACAGAGAAAAAGAAGGCCAAAGCACAGACTCCGACCACAACTGCAGTTCTTGCTTGCCTCCCCCAGTGAGGCTTTGTTGCCCTCTCTCTTTCCTGCTGCAGTGAGAGACACATTTGTGTCCTTCACATACAATCCCTATTTTGGTTAAAGTTACTTTGAGTTTCTATTACTTGCACAGTGACATGGTTCTACCTTTTTAAAACAGATTCCACATTTTCACCAGTCCATTTGCCTCAATAACCTTACCTGCAATATGGGAAGAGGAAAGCAGTTTCCTTTCAGGGAAAAGGCAGTAGAACTCATAAAAGATGTTCAAGTATAAAAGCACTTGGACTATAAATTATCATACACATGCAGAAGATTGAAATCTGTAACTGGTTATGAAATATTGTTCACAAATGACCCCTATTAAAAGCCAAATGGAAGGATTTTCCAGCAAAAATGAGGTAGGAAAAAAGCTCAAATAAAAATGGGCCAAGATTCTAGGCAGAGCTCTAATATTCAGTTTCAGAGATTAGTTCGGCTTTGGCCATTTCCAAGTGTGAAAGAGGGATGGGGCGAAGAAGGTAATGGCAAAAAGAGAAAGAATCTACAAAGAACCATGGGGAGGAACACCGGCAAGGATTTTATCCTTCCAGAGAAAGCCATATCTGCTGTTAAAACACAGTGCACAGCAGACTGACAATGATCTTCTTGCAATAGGTCATAGAAAGGGCATTAAAAGACAACTTTCAAAGGTCTCAAACTAGATAAACCGAAATCAGTAATAGAGGACTTATGCTGGACCTATAGGAGATTTTCTTCCAGGTGACTATTACCAGAGGAATCTACATAACAGTGGACTGCTGCTATTTGGGGGCTAACTTCTGCTGCCCACCTTTGAAGTCACTAATAGCTTGTTAGCACAGAAGCCACGCTCCGTGGCTCACACCTATAATCCCAGAACTTTGGGAAACAAAGGTGGGCAGATCTCTTGAGCTCAGGAGTTCAAGACCAGCCTGGTCAACATGGTGAAACCCTGTCTCTCCAAAAAAAACTACAAAAATTAGCCAGGCATGGTGGCTCACATCTACACTCCCAGCTACTCAGGAGGCTGAGGCAGGTGAATCGCTTGAACCCAGGAGGCAGAGGTTGCAGTGAGCTGAGATCCCGCCACTGCACTCCAGCCTGGGGAAAGGGAGTGAAACCTGGTCTCCAAAAAATAATAAAATAAAATAAACGCCCATTAGCATAGACAAAGAGAAAGACAAGAAAGTAAAACCTTAGCTTATGTTATTCCCTATTAGCATCTCTGATAATGGATTTGTTCATTAACAAGTTAGGAACTAATTGAACTGGAGATTCAAAATAATCTAAAAATTTCAGTTCTTGATGTTAGTACTGCTGTCTCTATGCACTATCAAGTGCACGGAAAGTATAGAGGTCAATGTATGGCACATCTGCTTTCCATTACCATGAAATTCACTTCAACACATCACTGTCATAAAAAAGTCCTATACTAAGCATTCTGTTGTTGGTATTGATCCTTCCCTTCCATGTTATGAAGATAGTTATTCATTTTTGCAGACTCAACATGGCATAATGCCTGGCACAGAGCTAATACTCAACATCTGTGAATGTATAAAAGAGCAGATAGTAGAGGCTCCATGCACTTCTGAATTGCTGACCATAATTGTTAACATTTTCTGAAAACTTACCAAACTCCAGGTGTAGTACCAAGTGCTTTATGTACATTGTTTCATTAAACCCTCACAACAACCCAATGAGGAAACTGAGGCACAGAGACCTGTCCAAGATCATAGACTACTAACTGGAGGAAGTGAGATGCAGACAGAGGCAGCCTGGTTCCAGAGCTCAAGCTCTACACCACGCTGCAGTACTGCCTCCCGTATTCTAGTCCTCTCATGAAGGCTTGCTGATGGTCTAGCACATCCTTCATGCTCTGCGGGACACAAAACCAGACACAATTTTAACCTTGCTCTTTGGAGTTAAGAGTGAGAGTTAAGTGGTATTTATACAATTAACTCCAATATGAAGCAGAATTTAACAAGTATGTCTAGAAATGAGGCTGAAGGTACAGAAGACAGGAACACAACTCTTAGCTAGGATGGGAGAGAAATGGAAGGTTGCATAGACCAGGGACACATAGGCTGGGCCTTAAATTATATAGAAGATCTGCAAAGGCAGAGATAGAGACCAGATTATAGTCAGCAAAATCATCACATGTCAGAAAAGTCAGTGTGTGTCTGGGGCTATCTGGGGCACAGGGTATCTTCAGGAAGCAGTAATGATGAATCCTTTAATGATACTCTACCAATTCCCCCGGTGTGAAAACATATCAAATCTTGAGGTACAGAAAGGGGGACAAACCGAGGACTCCCAAAACTAATCAAAGAATACTCTTGAAGTTCTGAACATTAATGAGGATGAGGACCTCACTGAATGGCCACTTCTGTACAAACTGAGTTTGAAGTCACAGAAATGTTAGAACTGTAATCCTAAAACTCAGTTAAGAGGGAAGTGCATCTACAAATCAAGACAGACCTCCAGCTGAAAATGCCTCAACAGACACTTGCATAGGCCTTCCTTCCACCTTTCCGTGTGCAAACGGATACTGTGATTTTGAGAATGAAACATGATAGCTCCTGCATCCACTACTAACAAAAGCAAGTGACTGGCAATGAGGGTAAATCAGGCCTCCCTTGAGTTGGTCCTTGAAGGTGCTATCAAATTAACGTATGTCTAACAATTCTGTCTCCATTCAAATCAATTCGCCTAGGTAGCTAACCTGCTCACTGTTTCTCTAACAAGGTAAACAATGGATTAGTAAAAACTACACATATCAGACCTGGTTTCTTACAACATTAGGCTCAAAATGCAAGATTTACATAAAGAGAACATCTATGGTGAGAAATAATTTGCTTAGACAGGAAATTTTATCACTGCCATTCAGTTAGTTGGAAAATGAAGATTTAGAGATTTGGGGAATTCTCTAATGTTCTACATAAGCATAGGGTAAAATAAAAACTTCGTATTTCTTTGAATTAATATCCAATTCTCTTCTAGAGGAAATTTTATTGAATTGGAAGTGTAATTCTTCTGTTTAAAAGAAAGCCTCAGCCAGGCATGGTGGCTCACACCTGTAATCCCAGCACTTTGGGAGGCCGAGGCGGGTGGATCACAAGGTCAGGAGTTCAAGACCAGCCTGGCCAACATAGTGAAATCCTGTCTCTACTAAAAATACAAAAAAAATTAGCCAGGGGTGGTGGCGGGTGCCTGTCCTCCCAGCTACTCAGGAGGCTGAGGGGGAGAATTGCTTGAACTTGGGAGGCAGAGGCTGCAGTGAGCTGAGATCACACCACTGCATTCCAGCCAGAGCAACAGTGCAAGACTCCGTCGTCTCAAAAAAAAGAAAAAAGCCTCATTATTTTTTATAATGATCATGCTGATCATACTGCTATTCTAGTCACTGTCAATAAACAAAATGACAATAAATAACCATTACAAGGCAGCAATTAACATGATGGTACCTCCTAACTTCTAAGCTTGTTTCTTTAACGTGAAAACACTATTTCTATTGGCAAGTATGTAGATGAGAGCTGAGTCTTCCTGAAGGACAGATTGAAAGAGTTTTCACAAATATTTAAAATCACAGAAAAAGTAATGTTCTGAAACATTTACAGAAATTAATAAAAGTATCTCATCTTTGTGTAGATTAAATATTAAAATGCACTTATATAACTTTTATTAAAATAATTAATATTTAACGAAGACAATTGAAAGAACACAACTATGACAAATTACATTTTGGCAGTAATGATAAGCCTTTGAGTTCTAGTTCTTTCTCCTTAGGGATGTTACATATCTGTTTTCTCTACTTAAATCACTCTGCCTCATTATCATCTCTGCCTTCTACTCTCAGTTCAGCTTGAAAGTTCATCTTATACAGGGTTACACGATTTTATAATATCAGATAACTCTCTTTCACACCACTTACCAGAGCTCTAATACTAACTTATGTGTCTCATTCTTGGTTGAACATTTCTCTACCTCACTAGATTATAAACTCCTTGAGGGCAGGCACTGGTTCCACTCTCTTCCACTAAATCCCCAACTCCAAAACCCTAACACCTTAACACCTAATATATATATCACCATTTACATATCAGTCACTCAATAAATATTTGAAGAACGAAATGACAAAATACCCTTTACCTGAATGCTTACCTAAAAATGTATCTTATATATGGAATGAATGATCCACACTTACTACATGGATGTATAAACTCAAACATTATACTTTTCTTTGCACATTTGAGAATATGTGTCATAAGCTATGTTTACAATGATATGGAAACAAAAACTTGTCTATAACAAAAACATGCCCATAGCAATAACAGCAACAACAAGAAGTGGTTCCAAATTCAAGGTGGTAGCACAGCTTTTTTCAAAAATTTGAGAAAAAACAAATCTATTAAAACAGAAGATATAGTCTCTTGGACTCCACTAAAATGAGTCTGTTCAGGTCTACTACAAAACACATCTTTAAGAGAGATTCATGGCCTTAGTAGCCAGACAGTAGGTATGGCCCAGACCTTCCCAGCACAGCCTATGTATTGAAGACTTTAGTGAAAACACTCATGTCAGCAAATTTAGCATGGATAATTGCAATAGGAAGTTCTATAACTTTGCTTTAGGGAAAAAAATTCTATTTTAATTTTCATTCCCAAACAGAATTATGTTAGAATAACAAAATAAACTTCCCCACATTTATCTGTTTTTTAAAAATGATAGTCTCAAGGAAGAGAAACTTTCTTTTCATTCATTTAATAAAGATTTTTGCATTTTATTTAAAGACTCCTTATGGCTATATTTTAAGGATTCAAGTTCATTTATTTGTGATAACTAGAAAAATTTTTTGTCCCTTTGTGAAAATTTTGGAACTAGGCATATTTTCATTACTGTTTTCATTATTACTGACAACTTGGCTCCCTGCTCTGGGAAATATTTCTGGAAGAAAAGAAAAAAAAAAAAAAACTATGAATCAACTAACTTACTTAGCAAGGTCATCAGCTTACTCACCAGGGCTTATTTCAAGACCCTCTCTGTGCCACAAACACAAGACTACTTTGTCTAAACTCTTGTCCAATTCCAATCATTTCTCTGACTTGCAGTACCTGCCTTAAAGTAATGCAGAACAAGCCCAGAACTCCATAAATGTGCTCTCCTAATTTATCCATTTTGAGCAACTAATCAGATTCTCTCAATCTTGTATATTCTTTTCCTATAGATCTAAAATCATAGCTTTGCTTGATCAACAGGTTTTTCCGGTAGTCTTGTGGAAACTTGACAGTAGGCATTCATCTTATATCCACTACACAGAAACCTGAGTTCACAGATGTTGTCTTAGTCAATGCCATACACACACACACACACACACCTGTGACCAGCACAGTGGTTGGCACATAATATGTGATCAATAAATGCATACTTAGGAAAGAAGATTTTGTTCTATAGTATTACAGAGGGTCAAAGTTCTTATAAAGGAGAGTCAGTTACTAAAACTAAACTGATATTCTATCTTCTCATGTGGTCTTTCGGCATCAGTCCTATCCTACACAATAATGCCTTGCAATCTGTAGTTGTGAAATTAGACTTCTTTTTATGTGTGCACAAATTAAGCCAGTTTCTACAAATTAAAGAACATCCAGCAATTATTGCTCTCCTTCAAGCTGACCAATAGGATAAGTTTAAGCAGTAGTTTTGAGAATTTGTTTTTGCAATTTTTTTTTTTTTTGAGATGGAGTCTCGCTCAGTCGCCCAGGCTGGAGTGCAGTGGCATGATCTCGGCTCACTGCAAGCTCTGCCTCCTGGGTTCACGCCATTCTCCTGCCTCAGCCTCCTGAGTAGCCGGGACTATAGATACCCGCCACCAGGCTGGCTAATTTTTTGTGTATTTAGTAGAGACCGGGTTTCACTGTGTTAGCCAGGATGGCCTCGATCTCCTGACCTCGTGATCCGCCTGCCTCGGCCACCTAAAGTACTGGGATTACAGGCATGAGCCACTGCACCCGGCCTGTTTTTGTAATTTCTTATACTACAATGTTTCCTTCTGGAGACAGAGGAAGTCCAGCAGATGAAGTCTAAAATACTCTGCTTATTTTGTGAAAAGACCAGGCATTCACACAAGCGTTTTTCTCAAAGCTGAGAAAAAGGAGGCTGAAGGTGCAAAAGATATCAGAGTACTCATTCAGAACCCAAGAGTCTATAAAATATAAACCTGGTGAGAGAACTGGCCTCAGCCAATGGAGATGCCTCAATAGTGTTTGTGTCACGAGCGAACAAGGTGAATCATAAAAATATTTTTTAAACTTCTGTTTCAAAGGTGCAAAAGGCATATATATTAGTCTCTTTGCATTACTCTAAAGGAATACCTGAGACTGGGTAATTTTTAAAGAAAAGAGGTTTATTTGGCTATGGATCTGTAGGCTGTATAGGAAGCATAACACTAGCATCTGTTTGGCCTCTGGTGAGGGCCTTGGGGAGCTTACAATCATGGCAGAAAACAAAGGCGAGCCAGCATGTCACAGGGCAAGAGAGGGAGAAAGAGAGAGAGTAGAGGAAGTCCCAGCCTCTTTTAAACAGCCAGATCTCATGTGAACTCACAGACTGAGAACAAACTCACTCATTACTGCAAGGATGACACCAAGCCATTCATGAGGAATCCACCCTCATGTCCCAAACACCTCCCACCAGGCCACTCAACCAACAATGGGGATTACATTTCAACATGAGATTTGGAGCGGACAAGCATCCAAAGTATATAAGTACAGCAGCTAGAACTTTCAGTTACTTAAAAAAAATCTTGCTGACATCTTAATTACCTGCTGAAGTCCTGGTGGTCAGCAAGAAAGCAGTGAAAACATTTAAAATTTCAATTTTCATATTAATGGTCCTAATTTCTGGATCTGGTTTTCTCTTTTAACCATTTGCATAAAAATGTTTTGTGAGGGACATATAAAGAAGTTGGAAGCTGCAGATATAGGCGTTAAAAAGGAATTATTTAGCAGACAGTGAGGGTATGGAGTCCTCCGTAAGGTTTTCCTTTGAATGAAAAGCAGCCGCCAAATCATTTTCTTTTCTAACAAAGAGCAGCCTGTAAAATCAAGCTGCAGACCCAGACAAGCAAGCTGGAAGCTTGCAATGGATGAATGCCAGCAGTTGTGCCAATAAGAAAAAGCTACCTGGTACTAAGCATGCTCAAAATGGCAGCTCCATCTTCCCTTTTCTTTGCCAGCCACATGTAGAGTAACGAGCAGGCAACATGGCGCCAGCTGGGAGAAGTCGCCATTTGCTTAAGATCAGGGTAGGGCATCCAGCTTCCTCGCATGTTATGTAAACATCACACCTCGTCCAACCAATCTTTGGGCCCTATGTAAATCAGACACCGCCTCCTCAAGCCTGCCTATAAACTCCAATGCACTCTGCCACAGGCTGGAAGTCTCATTCAGGCACCCTTTTCTCTCTCAAGAGAGAAAGCTGTTCTCCTTTCTCTTTCTTTTGCCTATTAATCCTCAGCTCCCAAACTCACTCCTTGTGTGTGTGTGTCCCTGTCCTTAATTTTCCCGGCATGAGATGACAAATCTCGGATATTATCCCAGCCAATGACACTGCTTCACTGCAATTTGCAACAAGAAAAATATTTACGACAAGGAAAAAAGATGAACCAACTGGAAATTAATGACTTTTTTAGATTCAGCAGAGAACTGAGGTCCAAAGCAAACTAGTATCCCCAAATTTGGAGAAACATGTAAACACAAAGAATCATAAGATCAGATTACCTAAAGCAAAAACAGAAGGACCTAGGAACTGATACGAACACGTGTATGATAATTTTGACAAATTGCTGGAGGCTCAGTGCAGACTAGCTTGAGAGTTAAAAACTCTTGCAGCCTAGTCTTAGGGGAGACTATACTTTTCTGAGTTTTATGTCCAAGAACCCTATCATGTTCTCATGGGGAAGTCTGGAGAAAAATCTCAGGGAAGAGAAAAAGTAACCATTTTGGAAGTTTCCCAGATTGTTCTCTGTAAGAAAGACACGTCCTTTCAGGGAAGCTATTTTACCAGAGTTCTATCTGACTTGGGAGAAGGGCAATTAGTCCCCTCCAGACTCTTTTAGCCTTCCTGTCTAATGTCAGGGGACGAAAAAAGGGCTCAGAACATTTCAGAAGATCGCAGCCTAGAAACTCAGGCTCACTAAGAAAACTGAGATGTAATCATAATATACAACAATTATCCTTCCTGAGACCTCATCACCACGTGAAGAGGTCTTTGGTGATTACAACTGAGAGGTGAAACACACAGACTCTATTGAATAAGGAGCTCTTAGGAAAGCCCAAAGACAACAGGGAAGACAAAAAATACGAGCACACAGAAGCATCTGGAACTTAAAGCTACAGCAAGCATTAAACACAGTCCAGCTCTAAGCTAGATTAACATAAAACCTCATAACAAAAAAAAAAATTCTTAGTTCCCATCACTCGAGGTATTATTTCCAGCTTTCAACAACAAAAATAAGGCATGCAAAAAGAAATTTCTTAAAGATAAACTTTAAACTATTTTAAACTAAATAAAAATGAAAATAGAGCTTAGCAAAATTTGTGGAATGCAAGGAAAACAATGCTTTGCAGGAAATTTAAAGAACTGAACACATATATCAAAAAAGAAGAAAGATCTAAAATCAATAATCTAAACTTCTGTTAGAAACCCACAGAAAGAAAAACAATTTAAACCTAAAGCAATCAGAAGAAAAACAGAATAGAAATTAGAGCAGAAATCAATTACATTGAAAATAGGAAATCAATCAGAGAAAAATTAACAAAACCAAAAGCTAATTATTTTCAAAAGATCAATAAAATTGCTAAACCTCTAGTCAGGCTAACCAGGAAAAAAAGAGCAACAATACAGATTACTAACATTAGAAATGAAAGAGGGGTCATCACTACTGATCTCACGGATATTAAAAAGATGATAAAGAAATATGATGAACAACTCTGTGATCTCAAATTTGATAACTTAGATAAACAGAGGCAATTCCTTAAAAGAAACAAACTACCAAAACTCACAAAAAGAGAAATAGATAATCTGAATAGGTCTATTCAGGTTATATCTATATCTGTATCTTTTTAAAACATTGAATCAATAATTAACTTTCTAAAAATAAATAATAAATTGGGTCCAGACAATTTAACTGATGAATTCTATCAAATATTTAAGCACAAAATGATAGCAATTCTCTACAACCTTCTTTAGATAGGTAAAGCAGAGGGAACACTTCCTAAGTCATTATGTTATACCAGCATTACTCTATAGCAAAATCAGAATACACGTGCAAACCCCATTAAAAGAAAGAAAAACTAGAAATTAATATCGCTCGTGAACATGATATAAAAAGCGTCAACAAAATCTTAGCAAATCAAATCTAATAATGTATAAAAGTTATTATATACTACAACTAGGATTTATTTCAGGTACACAGCTGGTGGAACGTTCAAAAACTCAACAAACATTCCTAGCACTTTGGGAGGCCGAGACGGGCAGATCAGGAGGTCAGGAGATCAAGACCATCCTGACTAACACAGTGAAACCCCGTCTCTACTAAAAATACAAAAAAATTAGCCAGGTATGGTGGCAGGCACTTCTAGTCTCAGCTACTTGGGAGGCTGAGGCAGGAGAATGGCGTGAACCTGGGAGGCGGAGCTTGCAGTGAGCGGAGATCGTGCCACCGCACTCCAGCGTGGGTGACAGAACGAGACTCTGTCTCAAAAAAAAAAAAAAAAACAATAGAAGAAAACCAAACAACAAAAAAAACTCAACAAACGTAACTTAGCGTATCAACTGGCCAGAGAAGAAAAATCATATAATAGCAACAGATACAGAAAAGCACTGACAAAATCCCACACTCATTTATGAGTAGAAACTCTCAGCAAACTAGGAATAGATGAAACTTCGTCAACTCGATACCAAAAAATCTACAAAAAAACCTACAGCTAACATGACATCATACTCAATGGAGAGAAACTGGATGCTTTAAGATCAGTGTAGTATAGTAGGCTGACTAATGATCTCCCAAAGATATCAGGTCTTAACTTTTAAAACATGAAAATGTTACCTTCTTTGAAAGAAAGGACTTTGTAGCTGTAACTAAATTAAGAATTTTAAGGTGAGAAGATTACCCTAAGTTATCTGAGTGGGCCTTAATGCTATCAATCATAAATATCCTTATAAGGTAGAGGCAAAGGTGAAATAACACAGACTCATCAAGAAGCCAGTGTGACCAGGAACACAGAGATCACTGTCACACCCACACCCACAACCCAAAGAATATATGGAGCTACCAGAAGCTGTCAAGGAATGGATTTCCCTCCACAGCTTCTGTGGGAGTACGGCCCTGCTGACACCTAGATTTTAGACTTCTGGCTTTCAGAACTGTCAGGGAAGAAATTTCTATTGTTTGAAGCTACCAGTCTGTAATAATTTGATATAGCAAGCTACTGAGAACAAGGCAAGATTTTCCCCTGTTAATACTCCTATTCAACAGCATAATGGAAGACCTAGGTAAAAGTAAGACAAGAAAAGGAAAGAATATTAAGAAAAAGATATAACGATTGGGAAGAAGAAAATAAAACTGTTTTTGCTCTCATGATATGGCTGACTATGTAGAAAAATCCTAAAAAATTGACAAAACATTCTCTAGAACAAATAAGCAACTGCAGCAATGTTTCAGGATAAAATTTTTCTTTTATCCTGAAAAAAACAGGATAAAATATTTCTTTCCAATATGCCAGAAAATAACAAATGGAAATTGAAATTAGAAGCACAATATCACTTATATTAGCGTAAAAAATAAAACACATAGATGTAAAAATCTAACAATATATGTACAGGATCTGTAAGGAAATATAAAAAATTCTGATGAAAGAAATAAAATCTAAATAAACGAATAGATATTCTGTGTTCATGGATAGGAAGACTTGATACTGTTATCGGTTCTTCCCAACTTGATTATACATTCAACGCAGTTTCAGTCAAAATCCCAGAAAGTTATTCTGTGAATATCAAAAAGCTGATTGTAAAGTTCATAGAGAAGGGCTCAAGATCCAGAATAGCCAATAAAATATTGAAGAACAAAGTTGAAGGAGTGATACTACTCAACTTTAAGACTTGCTACAAAGCTACAGCGATCAAGACAGCATGGTACTGGTGACAGAATAGGTAAGTGAATCAAAAGAACAGAAGAGGAAATCCAGAAATAGACCAATACAAACATAAACAACTTGCCCTGGACAGAGGAGCAAAGGCAATTCAATAGACAACAAATAGTGCTAGAATAACTGGACATCCATATGCCAAAAAAAAAAAAAGGGGGGATCTACACACAGACCTTACACCTTTTACAAAAATAAACTCAAAACGCATCACAGAACTAAATGTAAAATGAAAAATGCAAAATGTAAATCCTCTGAAAGATAACACAGGGAAAAATACTAGATTTGAGTTTGGCAATTTGTTTATAGATATAACAACAAAAAATTATCTACAAAAAAAATTTTAAATTGAATTGTATTAAAATTTAAAACTTTTGCTCTACAAAAAATACTGTTAAGAGAATGAAAGGACAAGGCACAGAATGGTAGAAAATATTAACATCATATGTCATTAGGGGATTACAAATTAAAACAATGACATACCAGTATATACCTATTAGGATAGCTAAATCCATAAGACTGATAATACCAAATATTGGCAAGAAAGTGGAGTGATGGGAACGTTCATGCATTGTTGGTGGAAATAATGGTAAAATGGTATAGCCACTTTGGACTACAGTTTTACAGTTTCTTATAAATCTAAACATAGTTTCACCACAGAATGCAGTAACCAAGTTCCTAAGCATTTACTCAACTGAGTTGAAAACTAATGTTCACACAAAAGTCTGCTTAGGGAAGCTTATAGAAACTTTATTCATAATAATCTGTCTTTCACAACACGAGAATGTATAAACAAACTGTGGCAAATCCATACGACAGAATACTAGTCTACAATTTTTTCTTTAAAAGAACTCTTATGCCATAAAAAGGTGTGGAGGCACCTTACAGACATACTGCCATATGACATTATGGAAAAGGGAAAACTATAGAGGCAATAAAGGGATTACTAGTTACCAGGGATCCAATATAGTTTCTTAGGGCAATGTAGACTATTCTATACGAAACTGTAATGGTGGATACACGACAATATGCATCTGTAAAACTCCATAGAACCACAGAAGGCCAAGAGTGAACTTTAAAGTAAAGTATGAACTTCAGTTAATATAAATGTGTCAATATTGGTTCATTAACTTCAGTAATAAATGTGCCACACTAATGCAAGGTATTAATAGTAGGAGACACTTGGTGGTGGGGCGGGGATGGGGGAATAGTGGCGACACGGAAGGAAAATGTTATGGTAAGTCTCTCAACTATCTGCACAATTTTTCTGAAAATCTAAAGCTGTTCTAAAAAATAAAGTATTTTAATTTTATTTTAAAAAGTACATCTTAGAAAACATACCTAGGATGATCTCTAGGCTCTGGATCCAGAAACCCCTATTTCAAACAAGTAGGAAGATTCTTATGGCTGCTAAGATATCAGCAGTCCATGGTTTCAGGAATACAGAGCCCCAAGGTGAATACAACAACCAGACTGAAATAAGTGCAGTTCCAAGAATGGAGCTTAAACTGGAAAGACTAGAGAGCAGCTGGCTAGCTGTTTAGAGGTAACAGATGGCAGAACCCTCAGGATCAAGTCATCCTGAATGAAGAAAGACCTTTGGAGAGTGCACACTTGAGTAAATAGCGGCCTCTGTTCATGTTCTCCAGTAACAAAGAAATAAACTAATTAGATGGCATTCATAAGCAAGCTAAAATTCCTTTCACTGGAAATCTGGAAAGAACTGATTTAGGAGAGCGAAAAACAGGGATATATACACACACACACATACACACACACATACATGTTTGTAGTATCAGGAAATGCTCAACTTTGCTCCCTCAAGTCATCCAGTTCCAATGTTTTATATATGCTATTATATGTGACAAAATCATATAATATATATTAATACATATCATTAAAAATATGTAACTGTTAATGTAGCATAGGTATATATTTTTCACATACCATAACATTTATCCTTCTAAAATATGTAATTCAATGCTTTTCAGTATATTCAGAAAAACATGTATCCATCACCATTATCTAATTCCAGGACCCAATTTTGTTTTTAACACATCTCAAATGTAGATTACAAAAAAAGAATTGATCCACTAGGGATACGGTCTGTAAGAAGCAGCCTAGATTTTTTAAAAATGTTTTTCTTCTACTCTACATGTAAATAAGTCTGCATCCTGTCAGTATTTAAGGTTTTCTTTCTTTCTAACAATCATGTAAGGCTGGTATTTTTTAAAGTTTCCACTCAGAAGACTGTCTTCCTGACCTGTAAAGAAATTAAGTGTAAAAATGTATGCAATTGGACTAAATAATGAAAAAGAGGTTGAGAAGAGTGCACCGAAAGAGGTAAAAAAAGGAGACTATGGGCCAAAGGTATACAATAGGGAAAATAAAAGAAGTTTCTAGGGCACTGCAGAAAGACAATGTATTCTAGTGATTACCTTTATTAGACTCTATTGGATCAGGAGCCAGTTCATTAAACATTAATGGCAGGGGAATGCCATCCATATATTATAAATAGCCATTAAGTTGAGATAGACAGCTCTGCCCAGGGTCAGTATGAATTAATAAAAAAAACTGAAGCTGGCATTTCAGAATCATAAAAAGATAGGTTTAGTAGAAAATATTCAATAAGAAGGAAGAAGAACAGTATATATTACACTATTTGTCTGAAGAGCAAACTGAAAATGAGAACAAACTTAACATAAACCTAAAAAGACCCTTCATGAATGAAACACTTATTTCTCGAAAATGGATGTCACTTACATTTAAGAATCGTAACAGTACAATGTGTGACATTGGCAAATGGTAAATGTAAAGACAAATGAGGTGTAGACGTTCAGCTAGAAATTAGACAAAATGTGAATGCAAACAAAATATCCTCACTGAACACAGTTCCAAACATAGTATGTGGCAGCAGGAGAACTGAAGTTATTAACAGATAAGGTCTAATTTCCAATTTATCTATTGAGTTAATCCTGAAACCTATCCCACTTGCCTGTATTTACAAGGTAGGTCATCTTAGTTTTACCATGAGTTTTCACTATTTTAAGAGAGAAATCATGTTATGAAACATGGTACTGATAAGATACTTACATAAAGAGCTACACTTTTTTAATTTATTTTTCTCACTTTCTTTGCTAATTTACACCCATTGTTTCTGAGTAATCTGAAGAATGAGACATTCCCATTTTTTTATGTATCATAATGTTTCTAAGATAACGCATGGACTTTTTAAAGAATTTCATGGTAGCAAATATTATGACTCAAAGTCAATATGACCCTGGTTAACAAAAATGATCAAAAACTAGGAAATAAAGCTAACAGTAGTGGTAGCAATGGTGTATGTGGCGTGTCTGTTCAATACTGTACTAGAATTTTGTTCCCCAAGCCCACTCAAGGATTATTTAATTCTCTAAAAGAACATATCTGTGTTTGGCTTTGCTATATACATTTTGATTATTGTACCACCACTGTCAAGTTATAGGTTAACTTGTAGTTTTTGTCTAGTACGAAAGAACCACTGAAGTTTATGGTTTAATTGTCCTGTGGGATACTAATCAGTCTTGTATAAAACCTAGTAATTTTATTCAAATATTCTCCCTCTCCAACTCCTTTTTAACAAAATGTCTAGAAGTACCCAGGTCCTCAAAATGCCCCTGGATTGCACTGGTTTCTTCATTAAAGACATATTAAATGTTGGTATATATTTATTCTGTATTTTTATTATAGTCATATTAACCCTTAGAAAGTAGTATTTTTCACTCCACCAAGCACCTGTGTAAGATTTTTTAAAAAAATAAACATTTGCCAATGTTTTGAGAGGTGAATTAACTCAAGTAAGGCATAACCAGTAATGCCAAAAATAGGTTTATGCCCCATGAATTATCTCTCCAGTGGTCTGCCAGCCACCCATAAAAGTACATTTTTAAGTTATACTATAGAATGAGTGAGATAAATAAAATGAATAATGAACGGCAGACTTAAAAATTATGACATTTTCTTAATCTTCATAAAGCCTGTGATGGATTTTTCACTTGTCTACTTGGCTAAGGTGAACTACAGTCCCTCCCCACTTGTTCAAACACAGATCTAGATGCTGCTGTAAAGAGATTTTTCAGGCATAATTACAGTCCCTAATCAGTTGAGTTTAATTTTAGGAAATCATCTTGGGTGGGCCTAACTTAACCAGTTTGAACACTTTAAAAGAAGACTGAGAAAGTCTTGTACTTGGTGTTGGCTGCCAGCTGAGATCTTGGCTGAGACTGTCAGCTAGAACTCTATTTTTTAAATTTTATTGTTTAAATTGACACACAGTCGATGTACATAGTTTTGAGGTACATGTGATAATGTAATACATTCATATTACTTAGCATTGGGATATCCATCACCTTAAATATTTGTCTTTTCTTTATGCTAGATACATTTCAATTATTTTCTTCCATCAACTAGAACTCTTATAACTCACGGCTAGCCACTCCACGTGATTTGGCTTCTCTCACAGCATGGCTGTTGGATTCCAAAGAAAAGCATCCCAGGAGAGGGTAAGTGGGTGTAGAGGGGGAGGAAGCAGGGGTGGGGAGCACACACCAACATGCATGAGGTGAATGCTATTCACTCCACCTGCACTGAGTGCATCCTACTCTATTCTCTATCCTAGTTTCAACAGAAGGAAGAGAAAACAGACTCCACCTCCTGATAGTGTATGACAAGAATCTGGAACACCACAATGAACTAGAAATGCAGGTGTGGCCACTTTTGGAAAATGTAATTATGCCACAACAATCTTTGACTATTTTTCTATTGTATCATTTTCATAATGGTTTTTAGAAACTTGGAATAAATTAGAGTCATTAGCCCTATGTACATAATATGAGTTGCAAATATTTTTCCCTCAAACAAATGTATTTTTGTTATTCTTACGTATCTTTTATCTCAGAATTCTAAGTCCCTTGGAAGTATGCAAATTTTATTGAAGGGAATTGAATTTTTAAAAGAAGCACTTGTAGAGGACATTTTCAATATTAGTGCTATCAGTTAAGTAATTTACAGTAACTCTTATGGTACCCAATCTTTCTCTCACAGTGATATTTACAAGTTTAAACATTTTTTATCTCAAACAGAGTGGCCTCTGAATTTTCCTCCTAACAAGGAGCTTAATCTACTATAGCAACCATAATGAAAATGTTATTTAAAAATCAGACAAGAGCAACAGGGAAAGTCGGTGTTTGCTATTTAAATTGTTTTTGTATCAATGGGCTTAGAACACTGTGGAGCTATATCATTTTATTCAGTTTTCTTTCATTTTAATGTCACTGAAAGGTCAAGCAATAATCCAGAGATCAATTTACCATCCCATGCACATTGCTTCCCTCCAATTTGGGAATATAAATTCAAATGTAAGATGGTCTTCACCCAAGCTCTTCCCTGCAAAAAAAAGTTAAGGCCTCAGATATTTTTATATCTACAGAGCAGAGAAGGCTTTACTTCAAATAAATGCTGTTGCAATTAGCCTGATGACCCTTCTTTTGCCTTTTAATATTTTGATATTAGCAGGTTCTACTTTTCCTCCTGATGCCGAAAAAACCATGTCATGTTAACAAATTCCTTAAATGTTGAACTCAGTCAGATCATCTATAAAATGCAACAATATCATCTCCCTACCTATCTGTTAAGTTTATTATGAAGACAAAGTAAAATTTCCATTTTTTTTTCAGACAGAGTCTTGCTCTGTCACCCAGGCTGGAGTGCAGTGGCAAGATCTTGCCTCACTGCAGCCTCTGCCTCCCAGGTTCAAGCAATTCTCCTGCCTCAGCCTCCCCAGTAGCTGGGATTACAGGTGTGCGCCACCACACCCGGCTAATTTTTGTATTTTTAGTAGAGACGGGCTTTCACCATGTTAGCCAGGCTGGTCTCAAACTCCTGGCCTCAGGTGACCTGCTGGCCTCAGCCTCCCAAAGTGCTGGGATTACAGGCATGAGCCACCACACCCAGCCAAAATTTCTGTCTACTTCTGACATTAGACTGCTGAGAGTACTACATATATGACAGTTTATTAGTATTGCTTTTAATACTTAGAACACTGTTTGAGACACATATTAAGTGCTTAATAAATTTTACCTGGTGTTTTTGTGATATGCTTTATTTTATTTAAGAATTTAAGGGGATCAAGTGTGGAAAGAGAAGACCTACCATCTCATCATCAAGTATTATGTGCATATAGCATGAGAGGAAGAGAGAAGAAAAATGGGGAGACAAAGAAGGAAAAGGAAAAGAAAGGATTCAGGGTTCTCTGATTATCTCTGTGCAGGTAAGCTGAGGGAAACTGCACACACTTCATCAGCACCAGTGGGTTCCCATCCAGCCTCTTTCATTTACTACTGATATGACCTTGGGAAAGATACATAACCCCTCTGTATCAGTTATCTATTGCTACTTGACAAATTAACCCCTAAAATTCAGGGCTTCAAACCACCATAAATATTTAGTATCTTATACAGGTTCTGCAGGTCATGAAGTTTGAAGCTGATTAGCTGAGTGGTTCTGACTCAAGGTCTCTGGGAAACTGGAGTCACAACACCCACCAGGTTGGGAATAATCTGCAGACTTGGCTGAAGCTGAAGCATCCACCTCAGGTTCACTTACAAGGCTGGAAGTTGGCGCTGGCTGTTGGAAAGAAACTTTATTCCTTGCTAGAGGAAGCTCTCCATAAAGCTGTTTAAGTGTTCTCACAAAATGGTGACTAGCTTTTCCCAAAATGAGTAAGATTTTATGACCTAGACTCTGAAGACGCACACTGTTGCTTTCACTGTATTCTACTGGTCAAAGAGATAACATAATACAAGGTGGGAGGAGATGTCACTAGGAGGAGAATTTTAAAAGGTAAGGATCACTGGAAGCCACCTGGAAGGCTGGCTACCGTGCCCTCAAAGTCTCTGATCCAGCATCTATAAAATGAGAATAATAATGACTTCTACCTCACAATGTTGGTGGAAAGATTAAATGACACCATGTATTCAAAGTGACTGTGGTCCAGCACTTGCTCCACGAATTGCAAACCTCCTTAATCATTCTGTTTTCTAGGTTCTGGCACAGTGTGTGTGTGTGTGTGTGTGTGTGTGTGTGTGTGTGTGGAGGGGGGTGTGGGTGTGTGCACGCACACATGCCTGGGTCCATTTGGCCACCTGATGAAGTCTGTGTACAACTTCCAAAAATCATACTTTTAAAAAAAAGTACATAGGATTATGAGAATACAGATTATACTAGAACATAGCCATGAAAATATTTTAAAATATATGTAATACACTAATATTTGTTTCTTTATTAAGACATTATACAATGAAACCCAATGGAAGCTTTAACAACTATATCTTCAAAGGAATGATAAGCACAAATGTTTTGGGATACATATAATAACTGAAATATGATTAGACAGTATCTGTGATTTCTATTGGTGAGAAAGTCACAAGTACTGCCAATGCCACCGTGGTCTTTTGCCTATATTCACACTTGAAAGAAAGGCTAAAATCTACTCAGAGGTTAGTGTAAGTGAAGATATCATTTTTTTAATCCAAGTTTAAAGTTTTCATAAACACTCTCCACAAACCCAATGGGGTTCACCGGACCCTGGACTAAACTTAATTTACTTTAAAAGAAAGAGGAGGAAAGAAGAATAAGAAGACCATTCTAGTATTTAATATTCTCTACAAATAATTTTCTTCCTATTAAATTTCCTACTGTACACAGGAACATCTGTTCTCCATGGTTCTCTCATTTCAAAATGATCACTCATTTCATTGGACATATACCTACATAATACTTTCATTTAAACATATTTTAATGAATCTTTAGACCTAGATAAATGGATTTACAGAAGTGCTACATTAAAAGGCCATTTTAAGTTTGGGATCGAAAGGACCTTTAATTTATAGCTCCAGAAAATATCCATTCCATGGCTCAAAGATCCTTGTGGATTATAAAAGAGGAAACGACTAACAGAAAAGGAATTATTCACCACATTATTAAACATGACAAAAAGCTTCTGAATTGGAGCTTAAAACGGGCTATTTAAGATTCCAGCAATCCCTAGGACTTTGGCAACAAAAATGTTCAAAAGCCTTTTATAGTTGCTGTCAGATTTCTGTAAAGCATTTGAGATTCCTGTGAACTTATTTATATAACAAGCTAAAACCTGAAGCTGACTTGAAAGTCTTTCTATTCTAATTATGTAGAAATGGAAATGCCTAGAAATGATGTTCCGTGTTCTCCCAAGAATATCCTCTTGAAATGGTGGTTTCAGAACCGGGTATTTAGAAGAAGGAATGAGAGTGTAGCTGCTATGGTTTATTACACGGAACCATTCAGCAGATATACAAACTATAGTTTAGCAAAGTGGCTTCAAAGAACTGCCATTTAGTTATTCTCTCTGCAGCAGCACATTCTAAATGACTGTTCATATTGTTCCCTCCTGGCCCACTACAGTGGTTTATTTCTGAAGCTCTATAGTTCATGTGTAATCATGTAGCAAAGTAATTCACGATATAATGACCCACCAGGATCTCAGCTGATTGTGGTTCTTATCACAATACTGTTTCTGATGCTATGCGTGGCTTTCCAAAGCCAACTTTTTAACCTCTTATGCTTCAGCATTCCAATTTGACACCAGGCCCCTCTGTGTTCCGAGAAGTCAGCACATACCCTAAGCTAGAAATGCTAGGAGATATTCCAACAGAAAAAATAAGATGGGTTTTGGGAAAGAGTACTGTGCTTGACAGCTTCTAAAATGGCTCCTAATCAGCCCACCACCTCCTGCTATTCACACCCTTATGTAATCTTCTCTCACTTTGAATGTGGGCTGGACCTAGTTATTTCCTTTTAACAAATAGAAATGTGATTTGTTTATAAATGACTGTGACTTCATCCTTTTCACCCTTTCTCTGCCCTCTTCCTGCTTGATGAGACAAGGCAAGCTGACCTATGGAGAGCCTCATGTGGCAGAGAACTGAGACCAACAGTCAACAACCCTAGAAGAACTGAGTCCTGCCAACAACCGTGTGAGTGAATCTGGAAGTGGAATGTCTCTAATCCTGACAATAAGATATTGACACCAACAGCAGAGATGTTAAAACATGTAGGGTCTCAGACCTTATCAAGGAAAGGTCTAGAAAAGGAATATGAAACCATTTTTTTCTAGTTCCAAAGCCTGTGCTTCATTCACTGCATTACACTGTGTCTCCAAATGAGTCCTGTTCCAAATACTGAATTGGGTTTTGCCTGTTTGGAAGTTGGAACTCATTTCCCTAGAGATAAAATGGCATAACTGAAATTAACAGAGATCTGACACAATAGCAGAGAGGGGAAGACAGAGGACTTGGGGTGGGAGGGCTCACAAAGGTGGCTGTGCCAAGAACTCCTGAGTCTTAGCAGTCTGATCCAGGCAGCTCATGGGGGCTGGAGGAGTGAAGTCCAAAGGCTGGACTGAGAAAATCACTTCCTGATTTGAGTTAGCTTTTACTTGATACTAGGATCTTTGTGGATTAATTAATTAAAAATCTCCAGATGAGACTAAAGCGGCCTCATTGTCTGGGATGATAATCAGGTTCATTGTCTCACAGCTGAGGAAATCAAGGCTGCAGACACACAAGGAGTGAGGTTAAATGGGGAAGTTTAATAGGCCAAAGAAAGAGAATAGCTCTCTGCTGGGGAGAGGGGTTCTGGAAAAATGGGTTGCCGGTCCACAGGGAAATACAGGGGGTTTTATAGATACCTGGTGAGGAGGCAGAGTCTGATTTACATAGGGTGAAAGACTAGTTGGACCAGGTGTGCCATTTGTATAGGGCATGAAAAACCGGTTAGGACTAGGTTTGCCATTTGCATAGGATGCAAATTTCTGGTCGCCTCCACCCTAATCTTTTATTATGCTGTCACGTCCTCTATCTGAGCTGTGCCATGTTGCCCGTTTCTTTACTGTACATATGGTAACAACAAAAAAAGGGAAGATGGAGCCTCCATGTCGGACATGCCTGGGCCCCAGGTAGCCCTTTTCTGTTAGCACAGCTGCCAGCATTCCCCTGTGCAAGCTTCCAGCTTGCTTATTTATGTTTTCAGCTCGATTTTTCAGGCTGCTCTTTGGTAGGAAAAAAATAATTTCTTGGGATGCTTTTCATTAGAAAGAAAATTCTGCTGAGAACTCTTTTACCCTTACTATCTGCTTAAATAATTTCTTTCCACTTCCTGTGTCAAAATTATCCATATTTAGAGTGAGCCTTAAATCCAATGACTGGTATCTTTATGAGAGAAAGGACTGGGAGATTTGGGCACAGTGACCCAGAGGAAAAGATCACATGGAAAGAGAGGAAAGATTGGAGCCAGAGTGCCACAGCCTAGGAATATCAGGAGCCACTAGAAGCTCGAAGAGGCAAGGAAGTATGCTCCCCTGAAGACTTCCCATGGAGTCTGGCCCTGTCCATATCTTGATTTCAGATTTTTGGCCTCCAGAACTGTGAGATGATAGATTCCGGTGATTTTTAAGCCACCAAGTTTGTGATAATTTGGCACAGCAGCCCTTAGAAATGACTACCAACACCAGTGATACTAATATTCAACTAGACGTGAGAGCCACCACTTGAAGCTGTGGCGCCAACCTTGCCAGGTGAACTGTTATTGAGCTCAAGGTAGGGCCCAGGTGGAAATCACTAGCAATGAGAACACCAGCTGCAATAATCACCAGAAAACCACCTTCATCTTCAAAACAAAATATTAAAAACCCACTGTGTTAAAAAGTCTTTTTTTAAGCAAGGCTGTTGTGAGACGCTTCGAAATAGTTGAATATAAACCAAGACCTATATTATACTGTAGTCGGATATCATCTCAGGATTAGCATACTGTGAGCAAATCCTCAACACGTTGGGAGTTCCCCTTCCCCTTCCAGATAAAAGTTGAAAAGCCTGAGAAAATCAGGGGTGTCCTCCTAACTTGGATGTTAGCTGCCGTCCATTTCTCTTGAGGTTTTCCTTTCTTTCTTTAACTTTTACAACCAAATATTTATAGTTAGTCCTGCTCTAAGAAAGCCTTAGAAGCCAGGATAAGAGCATATAATACTCAGAACAAAACTGTGTGAAACAGCCATATTATTCTATCTGTGACTTGATAATTAGATGTAACTAAATTGCCGGCCAAGATATCCCATACCCAAGCAATTATAGACACCAACTAACGAAGACAGGAAATCAAAGAATGAAAGCTGAATGCCATCAGTGGACATATCAGAAAACATCAAGAAAAGCTTTCTATGAAGAAAAAAAGTGTGCAACTCTTTTAAAGAAAGCCTAGTCATAAAATGAAATTGAAATGTGTATTTTTTTGTTTTATTGGCTTTATTTCAAATGGCTATTATTAAATCCCTGATAGTCAATTAAAAAACATTCACCAAACTAGAAATCTGCTGAAGTATACATGTATAAGCATGCCTAAATATATTACAAACTATTGAATTGAAACATTAAAACATTCTCCATAGCAACACTAAATCAAACTGATATTTCATTTTGGTTCCCCTGATGCCAATACATATAGTACATTAAACCCACAGCTTTCAGAGCATAAAAATGTCTTTGAAAACATACGTAATCTAGAGATGATGTTCAAATATAGTATAATATACACCTTGGTTTATAGTTATTATTTCTTTCCCAAGATTACATTTCTATGAGAAAGAAGAGGAGCCTAAATATGATATAGGGTCATTAATTTTAATGATGAAAACAGAAATTTTGACTTTGCCAGTTCTGACCATTGGGGAATCTGTGCCCATAGTAATAGATTACTCATGTCTTACTTGCACTTTTCCCAAAAATCTCAAGTCAAAGACCACAGAATTTATACGCTAGAAAATATAAGAAAAAAGGACACAGAAGCTAAACAAGAAAAGAAGAGGAAAAATATTCCAGTTATGGCTTCAAAGTCACTAATTTCCATGGAAGGAGATTAAGCGTATACTTTATCGACCTTCTCTGCCAGCAAACAACGTTTTATTCATGTCACTTAATGGGGAAGGAGGTCAGGTACAGATCTGAAGGTCACCTAACTATATGCTTTCTTCCACAGTATTATAGGGCATAGGGAAAGAGCCTAAAATATGCCTGCTGGTTGGAATTGAAAATGAAACGGTCCCTTGTTTAATGCCATAAAAAGTATCCTGAGAAAGTGTAGCTCTTAGGCTTTTCCTCTCCGAGGATTTAGGGAAAATCAACAGTGCCCACTGGACAAAACCACTTTAGATAAAGAGGAATGGCAAATTTAAGGGCTCACAAAATGTACTTAAAAGTTTAGAAATTGGGCTTTCAAATTATACCAGTCAAGTTTTACATGAATTAAGTCCTATTTTGAGCTAGGATGCATCATTATGGGAGGTAAACCAAAATCTTAAAAAATATATTAGTTTAGAATGAGAACTGTGCCTCAGGAGGTGCCATGGAATTCACTAGGAGGTAAACCTACTGCAAATTACATTTTAAAAAGCAATCTCAGCAATATATTCTTCTCTAAAACCACAAATTCATTTTGAATCAATATTTGTTATGAGTCCTTTTCAACATTTTTCCAGGAGCAACACAGCACTGTGTCTTCAGGGGTCGAAGAGGGAATCTACAGGACTTAAAAAAGCATAGGGAGTGAATATGGGGTCATAGCTTCTGTCATTGTTGAAAAGAGATGCCAGTAAGTTCTATGCATTAAAACAGACCACGCAAAGCACATCTGATGGAATAAGATAAATAACATAACAGATTCACTCTTGCATGTCCAAGCGTACTTCTGAGATGGTGAAATGCATTTGATGCACTGAAACATGAAACCATCAAAATCTACAGCTGGAAGGGACCTCAGAGATGAATCATTTGAAAGCCCTCCAGAGGAACCCAGGTTCCAGGAAATATGAAGAACGTGACCAAGGTCACAAGTTAGCTGGCAGCAGAACTTGCACCAGAATACTGATCTAATTTTATTATATACACTTTTAGTTTCTAAACACCAAGAGGCATGAATTTACAAACAATGAGTACAGCCACATGCTGTGCCTAAAATAACAATTACAAAAGTAAACCTACAGCCTCAGTTAAATTACTTACCTGTGTTTTTCCCCCACCATACAGAACATTACCATTCGCACAAAGGTCCCTCATGTTGCCCCTTTCTGGCCACATTAATTTGCTCCCGCCCTCACTCCTCTAACCATCCTTAATCACTGCCAACCACTCATCTGTTCTCCATTTCTATACTTTTGTCATTTTAAGGATGTTATATAAATGGAATCATACAACATATAACCTTTTGAAATTGGCTTTTTACGCTCAGTGAAGTTCTCTGGAGATTAAGCTGTATGTATCAATAGTTCATCTGAATGCAGAATAGCCTCCGTGGTATGGATGTACCACAGTTCATTTAACTATTCACCTGCAGAAGGACATCTGGATTGCTTCTAGTTTTTGGCCATTATGAATAAAGCTGCTAGGAACATTTGTGTAACGGTTTTTGTGTGGATCCAAGTTTTTGTGTTTCTTGGATAAATGACCATGATCACAAATGCTGGGTTGTCTCAGTCCGCTTGTGTCGCTATAAAGGAATACATGAGTAGCCAGGTCAGTGGCACAGGCCTGTAGTCCCAGCTACTCAGAAGGCTGAGGTGAAAAGATCTGTTGAGCCCAGGAGTTTGAGGCTACAGTGGGCTATGATTACACCTGTGAATAGCCACTGCACTCCACCCTGGGCAACACAGAAAAAGAAATCTCTTAAAAAATAGATATAAAGGAAGACCTGAAACTGGGTAACTTACAAAGAAAAAAGGTTTATTTGGCTCACGGTTCTGCAGGGTTTACAAGCAGCATGATGCTAACATCTGCTTCTGATGAGAACCTCAGGAAGCTCCCACTCATAGCTGAAGGAGAAGGGGAGCCAGCATGTAGAGATCACATACATGGCGAGACAGGAAGCAAGAGAGAGGGTAAAGGTGCCAGGTAGTTTTTGAGCAACCAGCTCTCAGGGAAATGCTCCAGGAACTAAGAGTGAGAAGTTGCTCATTGCTACCCGGACAGCACTAAGCCATTCATGAGGGATCTGCCACCATGACCCAAACACCTCCCATTAGGCCCCATCTCTAACAGTGGGGATCAAATTTTGACGTGAGGATTGGAGGCTATTCAAACTGTAGTAGGTTGTAAGGCAGTTATATGTTTAGTTTTTAAGAAACTACTAAACTGTCTATCAAGCGTGACTGTATCATTTTACATTCTTACCAGCAAAGATGCAAAAGCAGTTTAATAGAGAAAGGATAGCTTTTCCAACAAATGGTGCTAACGCAGCTGGGCATACATAGGAAGGAGGGTGATATGGTTTGGCTGTGTCCCCACCCAAATCTCATCTTGAATTGTAGCTCCCATGATTCCCACGTGTTGTGGGAGGGACCAGGTGGGAGATAATTAAATCACGGGGGTAGTTTCCCTCATACTGTTCTTGTGATAGTGAAGAAGTCTCACAAGATCTGATGGTTTTATAAGGAGTTTCCCCTTTCGCTTGGCTCATTCTTTCTCACCTCCTTTCATGTAAGATGTGCCTTTCACCTTCTGCCATGATTGTGTGGCCTCCCCAGCCACGTGGAACTGTGAGTCCATTAAACCTCTTTTTCTTTATAAATTACCAATCTTCGGTATGTTCTTATCAGCAGTGTGAAATGGACTAATATAGAGGGGAAGGGGGGAAGGAGGAGGGGAAAGAAGAGGAGGAACAGGGAAGCAAGAAGAACTTTCACATAAACCTCACAACTTGAATAAAAATCAACACGAAAGGAATCATTTTCCCCGCATCTTCACCAGCATTTAGTGTTGTCACCACTTGTCACTCTCATAGATGTGCAGCGATATCTCAACGTGGTTTTATTTAGCATTTTCCTTAGAGTTAATGATGTAGAACATCTTTTTGTGTGTTTATCAGTTAAATGGCTGTCCATGTCTTTTGCCCATTTTCCAAATGGTTTGTCTTTTTTGTTGTTGTTGAGTTTTGCGAGTTCATTATAAATGTTAGATAATAGCCCTGTTTTGGATATGTGGTTTTCAAATATTTACTCCCAGTCTGCAGCTTGTCTTTTTAGCCTCTTAGCAGAGTCTTTCAGAGAGAAATTTTTTAAATTTTGAAGTTAAACTAATCAATTTTTCCTTTTATGGCTCATGCATTTGATGCCAAGTCCAAGAACCCTTTGCCTAGACATAGATCCCAATGACTTTTTCCTCTGCTAGTTTCTAAAAGTTTTATTTTCTAAAAGTGTTACATTAATGTTCATGAGACATTTTGAATGAATTTTGTGCAAGGTGTGAGGTATAGGTTAATTTTTTTTCCTAACTGTACAATTTGTTGAAAAGTCTATTCTTTCTCTAACTGAATTGCTTTTTTATTTTTGCAAAAAAAAAAAAAAAAAGACCAGTGGGCATATTTGTGTAGGTCTGTTTCTGGGTTCTCTATTCTGTTGCATTTATCTATGTGTCTATACTTCTGTCAATGACACATGGTCATATAAATATTACAAGTATGTAAGTCTTGAAACTGGATGATAGACTAATTCCTACCACCTTATTCTTTTTCAAATCTGTTTTAGCTATTCTAGTTCCTGTGCCTTTACATATGAATTTCAGGATAATCTTGTCTATATCTACTAAAAATTGTTGCTGATATTTTCATAAGAATTATATTAAAACTCTGTATCAACTTGGGAGAACTGACATATTTACTATGATGAATCTTCTAACCTGTGAGAATATGTCTCTCCATTTATTGAGATCATCTTTGCTTTCTCTCATCAGCATTCTGTAGTTTTCACCATACAAATTCTATACATTTTTTGATAGATTTTCATGTATTTATTTTTGTGTGTGTGTAAAAGGTGCTGTATTTTTTATTTGGTATCTATCTGTTGATTGCTAATATAAATAAACATAGTTGGTTTCTATATGCTGGTCTAATATCCTGGGGCCTTTCTGAACTCATCTATTATTTCTAGGATTTTTTAAAAAGATTCCTTAGACTTTTCTAGGTATGACTTACAAGGAAGTCACCTGCAAAAAAAAGGCTAGTTTTACTGCTTCCTTTCTAATCTGTATGTCTTTTATTTCCTTTCCTTGGCTCACTGTGCTGGCAAGATCAATAATGAAAGTATTAAAAGTATCAGAACTTGCGTAGGGGGCATAAAATACTAAAGTGTTTTCCTACTCTCACACACTACTCAACACTTCTCACACCAGATTCTCCAACAGACGCTAACTGGGTATCCTAGAATTCAATTCAGTTCACACATTATCTACCCAGAGATATTGTCAGATCCAACAGGTTAGGGGTTCAGTCCCACAAGACAGCTCCCACTTTGGATGTCAGTTGTGTACCCCAGGCTGTGAAGTGTGGTTCTGACTGGCCAGCTATAAATCAGGATTCCTACAACCTCCTCTTCATGTTCAAGAAATTTGGTAGAGTGGCTCACAGGACTCAGGGAAATGCTTTACTTATGCAGATATACAACCAGATGGAAGAGATGGAGAGGACAAGGTATGTGGGAAGGAGTGTAGACCTTCCCTCTCTGGGAAGGTGCCCTCTCTACGAGCACCACCCTCCAGGCATCATCACACGTTCTGTAAGCTGGAAGGTCTCCAAATCCTGTCCTTTTCAGGTGTTTATGAAGCTTCATTTCTTATGCATGATTGATTACAGCATTGGCTACTGATGATCATCCAGACCTTCAGACCCTCTCCCCTCCCTAGAGTCAGGAGATAAGGCTCAAAGTTCTGATGCTTATACCACATAGTTGGTTCTCCTAGCAACCAGTCCCCATTCTGAGGCTATCTAGGGGCCCCAGCCACCAGTTATCATATTAGCATTAAAAAACACTCTTATCTCCAGAGATTTCACAAGTTTTAGGAATTGTGCACCCGGAACCAGGGGCAGAGGCCAAATATGTTTATTATATCAAAATATCACAAAAGTATTCGATCTTCCAACACTGTGTTGAATAGTAGCGGTGAGAGTCACCATCTTTGACTTTTTCCCAACCGTAAAGAAAAGCATTCAGTCTTTCAATGTTAAGTATGTTACTTTTTTGCAGATATTCTTTATCAATTTGAAAACATTCTCTTCCTTTTATAGTGTTCTGTTTTTATCACAAAGTGGTATTAAATTTCACCACATGCTTTTTCTGTGGGAATTGATATGATCATGTCATTTTTCTTTCTTAGCCTGCTAATGTGTATGAAATTAGATAATTTAAACTTAAAATAAGTCAACTTAAAGCTGTTAGAGCTTTAAATCATTCTGAACCTTGAGAGGTGGCTCTGCAGCCTGAGTCAAGTGGCATGCAGCTGCAACTTCTGGCTTTTTTCTTGTAAATAATTAAGAAGACCAAGCAGTGCCAGGGACAGGACCCCCTCAGATCATTACCCTTTCTCACAGAGTAATAAAGTAATCTTCCTTTGAATGTAGCAATCCATAACCAATCAAATTACTGTGGCATGTGCACTGGTCTTGCATGGAAAATGTTGTAATCCTGCTGGAACTTCTCTGTCCCTGCCTATGTAAATGAAACCTCAACAGCACCAAATTGGGCTGCTGATCCATTTGTGTAGAGTCAGCCGTGACGATCCTCAAGCTCTGCACTAGGATAAACTCCACATTTAATCGTATTCTTTGAACCTCATTATTTACGGTTGACATGCGGTAGATTCCATTGCTGATTTTCAAATAAACCCTACTTGATCATGATGTATACTTCTCTTTATACATTGCTGAATTCAATTTGCTAACATTTTGTTAAGAAATTTTGACATCTCTGTCTATGAAGGATGTTGGTCTGCAGGGTTTTTCCTACTATTTTCATTTGGGGCAATACAACTTCAAAAATTAAAAAATAAATGAATATTCTTCCTTCATCTGAGAGTGTCTTGATTTCCCTTTCATATTTGAAAGACATTTTCACTAGACATAGAATTCTAAGTTGACAGTTATTTTCTTTCAGTATGGAAAAAATATGATGCCACTTTTGCCTGCCTGGGAAACATTGGCTTTATTACTACTGGGCAGGGGAGAAAGTCCTAATTGTCTATAATGCCTCTTCTGGTATCACCCCTGAGTGGAGGAAAAGGTACTTCTCTACTGTTGGTAGAGGTGAAAATCCAGGCTCCCCATGTGGACTCGTTACCACCCACTGGATATGAGAATTCTGGCTCTCTACTTGGCTTTCTGTAATACCAACCTGACAAGGAGGCTGGAGTGGCTCATTACATCCCAGTGACGATAGTAGTTTTGGCTCCCACTTGGCCTTTGCTGTTGGAGGTAGGAGTAGGTAGGCCACACGTTTTTCAATGTGTGTATGTGTGGTGTTTAGCTGGAGTAGTACAGATATTATCTAAAAATTTTCTCTATATTGCTAGACTGCCCCTTTCCCAGTCCTTCACCTACAGTGAGCAGGCTTTCGCTGTAACCTTTCCTTTTGTCTGTGCCCTCTGTCAGCTAAGGGTTACTAGCTTCTTTAGTTCCAGGGCTGGGATAGCTAAGGCAAAAACAACGTCTAGGGAATTCACTACCATATTGTTTCTTGTGTCTCCAGGTCTCTAGCTGATCTGACTTCTCTCCACCTCTCAGAATATTTTTAGTTTTGTCTTATATACAATATTCAGGATTTTTTACTTGTCCTAAATGAGAGGAAGAGGAAAAAGTACACCTTTTTCCTAGAAGTGAAAGTCCCCTTGTTTTACTTTTTCAAAAAAACTAAAATCTTTCTCTTGACTGTTATCACAACAGATCCTATCAAAGAAGAGAAATTAAGACCAAAAAAAGTGTAACTGAGGGATAGTAAGAGAATATTCACAGCTTTACTTGAGAAGAAAAAAGGAAGGGTTACAAAGTGGGGAGGATTAGAGTCAAAAGACTCAAGTTCTAATGGAAAGATGGTCAGCTACTAGCCTTGCATCTCTAAATATCACTTAAATATTCAGGCAGCCCCATATTTTGTTTTGTTTTGTTTTTTCCTGTAAGATGGGGATGATATCACCGAGGTGCCCTTCCACAGTTGTGGTCGTATAAGATGAGATAGGAAATGGGATGGTGCTTTGTCAATTTTCAGTCAAGATATAAATAAAGGGCATGTTATTGCACTCCGATGATAAACTCCCTGCCTACTTCCCACTTGCTCCAACAAAACCCAGTTGTTTCCAGTTTGTCCTGTGTTTCAGCATTGATCCAGCAACTATTGATCCATGTGCACAAACTAGAAATATGGGAGGCATTTTGGATACCTCTGACTCCCCCTATTCCCCACCAGTCAAAATAAGAATATCACAGTCCTGATGTTCTCCTTCCAGATAGCTCTCAGATCCATCTGCTTCACTCCATCAGCCCTAGATCCAGCCCCCATTCTCTTTTACCTGTACTGTAATAGTCATCTCCCAAGTTTCCCTGCTTCCAAACTCATCTCTAAAAAGCAGCTAGATCATCTTTCAAGCACCCAAAGCATCTCTCCCGAGTCCATTCTAGATTCCCCCGGATCCCTAGAGTTCCCATTTGGGCTTCCCGTTTCTCAGGAGACTTATCTGTTCATTTATTTAAAAAACTGAAACGGTTTTCTCTTATTTATCCTAAAATAAAATTTTGACCTGAAAGTATGATTTTAAAACACTTTAATACCTTTATAGTCAACAAGTAAATAATATTTCATAATAGGAAAATAATTATGTGACATGTCATATTGGCATTGCTTCATAAGGTCAAGGGAAAAGCTGGACATATAAACTAGAGATAGTGTGTTTCACCATAGCCTTATGTACGTATTACTAAAGAATGAAAACATCAGCCATAACTTGCAAATCTGCATTATGACTCATGAAACAAGTACACTGTATCTCGCCAAGCTATAATTACTGACTAAACCTAAACTTCTTTATCACAAACTCATTCAGCCTCATGTGCTCAACCCATACACATAAACTCTGTTCTAGAAACTGCCTAGTTGATCAATTCTGACCCAGATCTACTAGGACCATTTCATGGCTAGTTCTAGCTCCCAAAACCTTCTCCTACCCTTCTCCAGTTCCTTTTGACATACCCCCCAGTTTCCCTGGTGTTGGTTCACCTTTGCAACAGCAAGCTCATAACATGACTTAGAATCTAAAAATTGTTCTGATACTCTTTAACGGGTTTTAGCAAAATAAGTGATTAGGATAAACATTGAAAATTTTACACCTAATTTTAACAGTTACTAATATTACTTCTAGTTAGAGGAGAAGGACTACAGAGTAGGGAGCAGGGTGTAGAAGCACAGATTACTCTTATTTTTCTGTAAGGACTGAAGTTCAAACAATAAAAATGCACTCATACATTTCCTCAGAAATTTTAAAAACACACATTAAATGCTAAATATACATCCTGTCAATTAAAAACTGTAAGAGTAACCTTATAAAAGGAAAAAAAAGTTTGCTCTCGGGAGATGATTAAATACCCATATTGACTAAATATATTTAAAGTGGTTATGATTCAATGTCAGACTAATATTTTTGCCTCTACTTTAATTGCTTTTTAAAAAGAAGTATCAGGAGGTTCCAATTAGAAATTTAACTGAAGGCCACTTTGAATCAATATGCTGTGGGAATTAAATGATGCTGTTTTTATGTTTTCCTTTTTGAAGATATTGGTCATTCTTTTTTTAAATTTTTATCTCTAAGAGTTCAAGGAAAGCTTGGTTTTTATTGGTAAGGCAAGAAATGCAGCTTCTGACTAAATGTTTATATCTTCAGTGTGGGATGCCCTTCTCCCTTTCTCTCCTCCTGGCATATTTAATCAACAGAATATTCACAGATCTTTTACCTCCTACAACAGGCCTACTCCAACCCTGCATAATTTCTCCTATCTTAGGGCCTCTGACATTTATCCCGAAAAAGACAACTAAATACTTGATTCTATGTTTTACCATATTTCTTTTCTTCCTCCACATCTCACTTTTTATTTTTAGAAAATGCCTCTAATGCAATTTAGTGATCATCACAGTGCCTAGGACATTGCTTGGAACTAAATAACTATTTAAAAGAAAAAACAAATATGGTTGATTAGTATAAGCAACTACTTTGCAGAACTTTGAAATGTGACTTCCCATTTCAAAGGTTGTCTTTCGTATTCCCCAGTCTTCCAACAATCATATTTCACTGACGTCTAACACATATACCTGATTTGAGAATATTCTGAGGCTGAGCTCCTTTATCAAAGTTAATTGGTAGAAAGTGTCACTCACCAGAAAATTCCATCTAATTGAAAACTGGACTGAAATGGCTAGGCTCAAATGGGGGCTGATCTAAATTTCTCATCAAGCATCACTTTAAGGTATCTTAGACAAGACTGCCTTGAGCTGTAAAAAGCTTTGATGCCATCAGCCTTACACCAGGATCAAAATCAATTTTCAACTTTTATTGAAAGCTTTGTTAATAAGTTTCTCCCCTGTTCGTCACAGTTATGAAAAACCTTTAATATTTTTGTTGCATGGGAATAAAGCTAGGAAGGATGTAAATTTCAGACAAATTGGAGGTACATTTTAAAAATATTGTCATCGAGACTGACAACTGCCAAACCTGGAAACCACTTTCTCCCACATCAAACACACCCTGAAGTAATGGTGAATTCAAATTGATATGCAAGCCTGTGACAGAGGCTATCAGAAGAAACTATTTCTTTTCACCTCTAAAATACAATTCACTAAGCATGACATCCAAATTCCTATTGTCATAGGCATTTTCACTGGTTTAGAAGAAGACTGCAGGACGGCTAATGTGTTTTCGTTCTCAGATAAGGCTAATGGGTTTCAGCTCTCTTGCCAGTTTGATTGCCAAATGCTGCCTGTGACACAGTAAAGAATTTTGAAGTTGCTCATGGACTTTGTGGAGGAGAGTAACACAGTCTATCAGCAACATTTACCAGTATGGCAAAGCAGCATTCACTAATGAATCTGAGCCCTCTCCCGTTGCTGGACCCATGGAAGACCATTTCCAGAGCCTTCAGTGCAGCTGGACAGGGCCACATGACCAGTTCTGTCCCACAGGCTGTGATCAGTGTTGATGTGTGCCGCTTCACAGCCCATATGTGATTTTCTATGCTTCTCATCCCTGAAGCCTTGAGATAAAGGTGCCATAAGACAGCAGTAGACAATCGTGCTGAGCCACCCCTTGGAGGTGAGCTGTCCTGGAGCATCACCTAGAACCTCCGCAGGCTTTGCAAGGATGAGAAATACTCCCAGTTGGTTAAGCCACTGTGATTTTCATATTGTTTGTTATTGCATTATAACCCAACCCACTCTGACTTCTACACACAGCTCTCAGATGAGGGACTGGAGACAGGAGTGCCCAGCACTTAGAGGATTACAGATTAATAGTAAGGAACACTGGTTCCTCTTACATTTAAGACACCCACAACATCATGATGCATTTCCCTCCAATGAGATGGGAATTCTTGTACCCTTGCACAGCTTGCTTTCATTTTGATGACTACTAATTGTGACCTGCACCTTGGCTCTTGCTTGTCTCCTTTATTCCTTCTCTCCTTCTTTACGTAGACACACAGATGTTCTAGAGCATGCCTGATATATCACACTAATACATTTATTAAGTATCCCTTTGAAAAGCAAAATGAAACATTACAATTTCTGTGGCTCTTTTAAATGCCTGTGAACACACTAGCACATTACATTTTTAAGTATTTCAGTCAAGGGGTCACTTGGGTTAGCCTACATTTTGGCAAGTAAATCAACAATTGCTGCCAATTGCATCAGAAAGATTCCTTTACTTTTAGCAGATCTCTACCAGGAGAAAAGGAGCAAATGTATTGGCTTATTGGAGCAAATGACCACCACACCTCAGGAACAAAAGCTTATACTTTCACATTGCTTACTAGATGCCAGGAAACACTCTATGAGCTTTACTGGTATCAATGAATTTAATCCTCCCAACAACCTTAGAGGTCATGGCCACATTTACTCCTATTTTACAGATGAGACAAGTGTGTGAGTTTACATGCTTACAAAAAGCACTTATCTTTTATCATCATAAAATAGAGTTTTTAGATAAAACATAGGATAAGCAGTTAATCTTTAGATAAATAATAAAACAGTTTTAGTATATGTGCCATATATTGCATGGGACATACTTATTCTAAACTGTTTTTTACATTTATCTGAAATTCAAATTCAGCTGGGTCCCTGTACTCCTATTTGCTAACTCTGGGAACTCTAAATTAGAAGCTGGATTTAAAATTTCATCAATTCTCAGTATCTAACTTTATTAAGCAACCAAGCTAAGCTGATTGTACATCTCTATCAAACAAAGTTAAAGACAAGTTTTTATTAAAATCTCTGAATCTAATCTACTATAAAAATAAAATGCCAAGAAGATTTTTACTACAAAAATTTGCTTTTGCTTTCCTACTACCCAGTCTGTGGCAATTGAGAAGGATACAGACATTGAATGTAGATTCTGTCCGTTGTCACATTTTATATCTAAATTGGTGAAAATCCTACCACTCGTGTCTGTAAGCCATTCACTTTGTTTGGATTGGGGGCTGGGGTTTGCAAGAAAACACAGAATATTCCTTTTTGTTCTTTTTTTTTAAACTTTTATAACATGGGACCTGTTAAGACAGAAGCATGAATATTCTAGGTCAGGCAGAGATGAAAGGACATAATAAATAGGAAACACTGCTCTCCCAATGTATCCTGAAGAAGTCCTTGTCAATCATTTCCAGTAAAGTGAATAAAAAATGCTTACCATGGCAAGAGCATACACTGAGTTTGATGTAGTGGGGACAAATCATAAAATAGGTGTAGGGTGAGGCCAAATTTTAAAATCTAAGGTACCTTGGAATAATATACTTCCAGAGATTCTCAATAACAGCATTTTAAATTCTTCTTCTCTCTTCCAGGTTCTGTTTCATGCAGGGCCATGAGTTACTGCCAACAAGTTAATATCTACTCTCGGCTGTTGATTCAACCCAAACACTGTGCATCTCCAATCTCCATCCATCAAGGGCTTCAAAACAATGTGTTTATCTTTCTACTTGTTGTGAATATTAATAAATTAAGATCTTTAAACTGTCTAGGAAGAAGTAAGAAATAACTGCCAAGAGCTTGGGTACAGATGAGGTATTTACATACATTAGAGAAGTACCATTAACAGTAAGTAATGGTGCTTTTACATTCTCAGAATGCAGTGCAATAGACTGTCGATTTGTTTTGGAGGTGTCTGCAGTCATAACACGTATCTCATGCTAAATGGATACTTAGCAATTTTTAATAATTTTAAACTGATGTGCTATTTAATGGTTTGGTGATAACGCACAGTTTTATGAAGACGGTTTTTGAATTTGGAATTTTTATTGAACTTGATTAAATTTAATGAGACTGCATCACTTACATTCTACCTTAATTCTTAATGTTTATAAAGGTCACAACAACTAATTTTAAAAGTTGTATTTTAGAAAAGCAAATTCTGTCAGTTAATGACTATACAATTTAAACCATAATTCCAAGATTTTCTAAAGCTAGCCTACATGTAGTACTGTGGTATGTCTTCATGAGGGGTATTAAAGCGTAAAAGTCTAAGACATATCACTGTTGTGAAGGAAAACAAATAGGAGAATTTTATTAACTCCAGATTCTTTTGACTTTGTCTGACTTTTGATTAGAACTAGAGTACGCAAAACTCAGCAGACTATGGTAAAGAGGATTTACGTCAACTCAACTTCCCAAGAAGTTAAAATTAAAAACATATCTCCCCTAAGTCAATACATCCCGCATTATTTCACTGGTGACTTTAGTCCCAATTTGTTTGAGGAAACTAAAGGTAAAAGAGAAAACAAATTTGCTTTGAAGGAGTCAAGGCTATGTGGAATAGAAATCTCTGCAAAAATACTTAACCCAGTCTGTAGCCTTTCCATGAAGCAAAGAAAACGTAAAACAGATTTTGGGGCATTCTGACACGAATTACTAAGATATCACTTATATGCCTGTTTTTAGACTGAGAGGCTCCTCAATTCCTTTTTCTTTCTGTCTGCGTCATTTCCATCAGGAACAACTGTTCAACCCTTACTTGTAGATCTTCATAATGATTCTTGACAATACACGTGCAAAATTAAAATGGGTCTCTTTGCACTGCTTGCAGTATGGCAAGAGAGTTTACAAGGCAATAATTCTAAATATAAAATAAAAAACAAACACATTACATGATTTTACAAATTTAAGGGAATGTGTAGAAGGAGTACTAATCACACTTGGCATGTTTAAAAATACACTTGGTGCTCGTCAGTGCTCAAAGAGTACAGTCATATCGTTTGAATTATCAATAATAATAAAATCATGGAGGATTGATCGTGAGAGTGTTTTCCTTCATCTTAGCCACAGTAATAAGACCTCTATGCTGCACTTCTTTTATAATTAGGCAAAAATCTGACAGAAATCCTGTGAAGGCAGAGGTAGTTATTTCTGTGTATTCTTTAGACTTCCACATTAAGAAACCATGCCCCCTTTTGACATGACTATCTCTTTCTTCCCCACACAACAAAACTGAGAACATAAAATTATGGACACAACTGGGCAGCTAAATGCAGACACGCTGACTGCAATAAGGCTCTCATCTCACAGAGGAGGAGGCAGTACAGCACTCTGTCTCCAGTAAAACATCTCCTCAAAAACTTCAAACTTTCTTAACATCTACAGAGAAGTCTTAACAGAAAAGTCAGTAAATTCGCCTGCCACACACCATCTTGTCATTTGACCTTTGATTTCTATAGTTCAGCACTCCCTAATTCCAATAGACAAGATTCAAAGAAATGTCTGTAATACTTCATCTGCCCGAAGGAAGACAGTGAGATAATATCCACACAAGTCTTGAACTTTTAAAATCCATTCTCACTGATACAGGGGAATATGAACTGGAAGAAGGATTGAATGCCATGCTTGAGTTTTTACCATCAAATAAAATCTTCAGTGTGTTGTTTGACAATGATATTTACTTTGAGTGTGTTTTAAAAAATGACACCTGCTACAAATATCATGGATCTGTATATCCTTGATGTCTCACAGGTCATAAAACAGCAAGGGCAAATATTTTATGAGCTACATTGCATTGTTGTTTTGTTCCCAGGAAAAGAGGTATTTTCTCAAATACTAAGAGACCAGTCTATTCCTGGGGTCAGCTGAAGCCAGTGTTGACCCTGGACAAACACTGGGAGAGAGCTGTTTCCCTACTATGATGATCCCTGGAGCTCAGATGCTGTCTGTGCCCAGACCCTCAAGGCAACCATGGCCAAGGTAGAGAAGGTGAGGACACTGCTCTGAGACACATGTGGTTCGGCACACACGTGTACTGTGATAATTGTTGCTAATGATGCTGACAGTAGCCAACATTTACCAAGGGATCACTATGCAGTGAGCACTGTGCACAGTGCCTTATGTGCTGACTCACTGAATCCTCATAATGTCATTTGGAGGTAAGTACTATCAGCAACACTACTTCGCAGATAAGAGGAAAACAACGGACAGTAATCGTGCTGCACAGCAGCAATCTTGGGAGTTGAACTTGATAAATCCATGCATTTATTAAGCTCAAGTCACCCATATAAGGAGTCAGACTTCAGTCAGTCTCAGCTCCACCTTTACTATAACCTTGGCCAAGTTACTTAACCTCACAAAGCCTCAGTTTCTTCATTTGTCACATATGGATGACAGTATTACTTGCCTTACAGAAAAGTCATCTCAAACTTGGAAAGAGGCGATTGAGCTTACTGCATTCCTTCAGTGTAGAGTTCCCACTATTGGGCCTGACTTTCTGTTTACAGGGTTAACTGACAACTCTCAGGAGAGGGAATAATTAGTATGGGCTGTTACAGACCAGGAGGACATCATCCTTTCTGTATCTAACCCAACACTCTACCAAATTGCACGTATAGGTATAGGTATAGGTGTATGTGTATATATATATATATATATATATATATATATATGCCTCTCAAATGCTCTTTGGACTGACTTTAACGTTACATTGGGTCCCCCCCCAACAATTAGTGAGCTGAACAAAATCTTGATGTGTTCATTTTATATTTGCATGAGAGCATGAATTTGCCTTTCTGCCAACTGTCTGAACACAACATTGTTTTAAGAATTGAGATAATGCATATGAAATGTTCAGCATAGGACCTGGGTTACCGATGATTCACTAAATGTCATCTATCACATCACTCCTATAATCATCTCTATAACTGATCACCAAAAGTATACTATTTAAAACTTTTAATGTGAGGAATGGTTGTTTCTATTTACTCATATTCAAATACAAACAGAGAGTATTTAATCACTAACTGTGAGAATAGCTCTGAAATTATATACTGTTATCCACAGCTGGGGCCACTTTAAAATCTGGCCTAGAGAGTGATTATCTCACACATCACACACCCAGTACGAAAATGGAGTTTTTAAGATATCCACTTTCTAGGCTGCTTGGAGCCTTAGTGCCGTCACCTCTGGTAAACAGGATTCATTAGAGTGATAATTGACAGTTGTTTCCCTTTCTAAGTGATTGCTCTGTAGTTCCATTATGTTCTGTCAGGGAAGTGCTAGCAATTAATTACCAATAAACTAAACACCAGCTCTGCTTGCAGCGGAAGGTTTGGAACCATTTATCTTGGGGGTTGAGGGAGGTGTTTGGGAGAGGGGAAAATCCACCTCACCAAATACATAAAGTGCTGTGTAAAAACCTTATTACAAGGGTGGGTGGGGATGGTTAGAGGCTCTGGGAGGACAAGAGACCCCCATTTCCACTTCTGACACTTTGGTATATTAAAAGAAAAAAACCTCAAACCAGTGGTCCAAAAAGTATGGTCCATTTTAACATAGGCTACTTTGAACACTAAAAAAAATACACTGCAGAATGATTATGACAGTCCCAAGATGACGACAAAACTTTTTGTTTAAGCCAAAAGCATAGCAAGGAAATACTCAAGTGGTGTGACAGAGGACTTTTTACCTTCTATTAAAGATTTTCTGTGCATTCCTTCTACTGGAAATAATATATAAACTCCAAATTGAGGCTTTTTGTGAAACCCTGAGATCCAAGGGTTTGAGCTTCCTCTCCTCAGTAAGCCAACAGACTCTGAGGTCAGATTCTTCTGCAAACCATCTGAGATCCTATACCATAGTTGCTTGCTTCCTTTCCTGTTTAACTTTTTTTTTCAATATAGAACCATGTGGTGGCTTTTTATATAGATCCTGGGGATACATCCTCGCAGCTCTCCAACTTCCTCTATCAGCTCAAGTCGCTCCCACAGCCACAATGGTCTCTGGGTTCCCTAGATTCTCACTACATATTACTTACTATAATTTTTAAAATATACTTAATCACACGTGCTTTCAGTCCACTTCACATTCGAGTGTCTCATTTCATAAGACTGTAGCTCCTTGAGGACAAGGACACGTCTTCACAGGGTAATTAACAATTACTGAGCACCTGCCTGCTGTCTGGAATCAGGTCATGCAGGCAGAGCAGGCAGGCAAGAAAGCAAGTAAACAAAGGCAACCTTTATTTACTTCTCCCACATTTCTCTGCCGTGGGAAAGGCAAGTCAAAGCTGAAAGAAAAACCAAAATGGATTTCATGGATTTCAGGTCTCCACAGAGCCCATGACCTGTTATTTGAAGGCTTTTGACCCACCAGTATGTCCAAACATCTGTTGACATCTGCCTCTCTGTTCTGTGGTGTTTTTCAAGGGATGCTAGGTGTTCTTCAAGGTCAAAAGGGAATGGTGCTCTCTTAAAGAAACTGGTGCTGAAAAGAATAAGGGTTTAGTTACCTGGGGCAAGAAGTAGAACAAGAATTGGGTGGAGGTCAAGAAAAGCCTAAGGCCAAGTGAGAAAGACCAACAGAAGCAAAGGAGACAGACAATCAATGATAAATTTCCCCCACCCTAGGCCTAGGGGTCAGTACTGATAAAAGAGGAACAGACCAAAAAGGCACAGGTGCAGGAGGTGACCAGTCCAAGCCTCTCCAGTTGGCTTCTGAGAGAGCTAACAGCTACTGGGGAAAACTGGAGCCTCCAGTCCAACCTAACCTGGCCTTAAAAGGCACAACCCCCAAGACAAAAGCACTCTACGTATTCCTGAAACACACAAGGACACAGATTAGAGGAAAGAAAGAAAACAAAGGGCTCATTTACAAATGAAATTTGTAATTGAAATTATTTTGAAATTTATTTCAAACTTATCTACATGGTCCAAGAATTAGATGAGTACAGGGGACAACTGTGTATGCCCCAGATTCACTGGTTATTATATTTTTCCCCATCTGCCTATCATTTGTGCACTTTCTTGCTTGCTTTCTCTCTGTATACACACTATTTTTTCCTGCTTCCTTTGAAAATAAATTGCATTTAGCGCATACTTCTTAAAACTAAAACTAAAGATATTCTTTTCCACCCCAGTACAGTTACTAATTTCAGTAAATGGAGCATTGGTACAATATTATATCCAGTCCACTGTCTTCTGTTTCTCAATTTTGTCAATTAACCCAACGTCATCCCTTTTGGCATCTTCCCCTCTTTAATATAAAATCCAGTATAGGATCTTATTTAGTGTTCCTAACTCTTAAGTCTCCTTTAACCTCAAACATTACTTTGTCTTTCTGTTTTCTTTTTTAACAGTACACCTCCATGCCCCAAACCCCTCTACCCCAACGTGTGTGTGTGTGTGTGTGTTTCATTTTGTTTAAATAGAACTATTCCTCATTTGGGGGTTCTCTGCTGTGTCCTTGAGTTTAGATTCAGGTTGTATATTCTGGACCCAAGTACCATATTGGTTATGCTTCTCAGGGTACTGCATCAGGAGACACACACATATCTCTTTGCTCATGAATGGTGATGTGAATTCTGATCACAGGTCAAGATGTTGTCTGGTTTCTTCACTATATGGCTACTGTGTTTTTCCAAACACAAGACTGCTTAATATTCTGAGTGTATATTAGGCAGGCAAAGAATCTAGCTCATTATATTTTAGTTATACACTAACAAAGTACGCACATTTATAAAAGCTTACAGTTGTATTTTGTTTGTCTAAAATAATGACACATTAGGACCAATGCATAATTGCTCACTCTGTGTTGTCTACCATTCTGAGCTATAAGCTTTTATTATGCAAAGGCTGTGGTTTGTGAGCTATCATTTGTATGGGCTCCTTCAGGCCCTCTCAATAAAATGACACATACAACAACCAATAAACATGCCCTTTTCTTAAACATGGTCGGGGTGGACTTTCACATTTCATAGAGCATCTCAGGGCTGTTCAAGCTAACAGATATTTGAAATCAATTAGTCCAACCCACACATTTTTACAGTTGAGAAAATCAAGACCTAAGGAAGAAAAAAACGACTTGCCTAAGGTAATACAGTATAATAGTTCTTTATAAACTGAATTATAAAATCAATTTAGTGGGCCGTGACCAGCATGTTTTAAACTGAAATACAATTTTTAAAAAAATCTGAGTACTTAGCATACAGCAAGGGTAAACACTGTTTGGTGAAACCTTTAATTATATATGTGTAGGAGTATAGATGCTCTCCTGTACTAATGGGATAAAAAAATCTTTTTTTTAAGATGGGGGTAGCCCAGGCTGGAGTGCAGTGGCATGGTCATAGCTCACTATAACCTCAAACACCTGGGCTCAAGCAATCCTCCTGCCTTAGCCTCCTGAGTAACTAGAATTATAGGCATACACCATCATGCCTGGCTGATTTTTTTTAAAAATTTTTTTGTACAGACAAGGTCTCACTATGTTGCCTAGGCTGGTCTCGAACTCCTGAGCACAAGTGATCCTCCTTGCCTTGGCCCCCCAAAGTGCCAGGACCTTAGCCATGAGCCACCTCACCCAGCCACAAAATGTATTTCTTACTGAATTCTGTGGTTAAAATCCTTTAAAGAACTCCATTAGAACTAACCCAAAACCAGTGGTCATTCTACCAGGAAAGTGTTTTTGCAAAGTTTAGTGTGAAAACAAATAAAGGTTGAAATGCAGCTTCTGATTTAACAGTTCTGGTATGGACCTGAGATTCTGCATTTCCAATAGGTTCCTAGGGGAGATCTAAGCTGCTCCTGCCAGCCTATCAACTACCTTTGAGAAGTATGATTAAAAAACACTGCATCTGAGGGAGGACCTACTTTATTTTTAACAACGCCTCCCTGAAGTAGGTACTATGTATATACATACGTATATACACACACACAATTTTTTTGCTAACAATTTGAATAGGAACAACTAATTCTTGAAAATGTTTAAAAATAACAAAACAAAACCTTCCACAAAGAATCACCTCAATTCACTACAGAGAAAATGTGCTAATTGTGATGGTAATAAGAGCGCTGGTATTTACTGGTGTTCACAATGACACGCATGAGACCGAGTGCATCCATAACCCAGTTGATTCAGGTTGATATGATTTCCCCCAGATTACAGATGAAGAAA